>NC_000006.12:12332727-12484242 GCF_000001405.40 Homo sapiens | reverse complement strand
AAGAAACTTAACCATGCAATCTCTTATAGGTGACTCAACCTGTGATGGAAGTTAATTGCTATTATTAATTATAATTATTATTTTAAGTCTATGTTTTGAGGAGCTTCCAGAACTTTCTAACTCTGACAGCACCTGTCAGTAGGGAGGTAATGGGAAGGAGCATGTACCCATGGTATGAAATGCTTCTGCTGCTTAAGTCACAAAGTCACAGGGGGAACCGGAAGTACCCACAATTTCTCCCCAAGAAGCATGCACTTCAGCGGTGAATACAGACTTAGTCACAGAAGAGAGGTGAGGTCAGCGAACGACAGCAGAAACAGGAATCCTCCAGATACCAGACCTATTACCCAGAAGGTGGTTTTCTGCCAAAAATATCAGCTTGTAGACTGCTTATCTGAAAGGAGAGCTGCTGCCCATAGGTGACATATGGCTTGAGGACCAAACTGGAAAGTGAAACCACTGCTTTAAGAAAAAGAGCCCAAGAACCCACGAGATGCTCTCCTCAGAGGAAGAAGCTTCTTGATTTCAGTCCAAATCCATAAAACACATGAGAATCTTGAATATGTTCTTATCCAAATCGGTCATTATTGATCATCAACTGTAGTCCTAACTGCTGTACAATACCATCTATTGCTTTTATATCTGAAGTTCTGCACATCTAACAAATTTTTTCCATTAAAAGACTGCTGTCATTCGAAGCATTTTATAATTTATGAAGCACTTTCACCAAAATAAATCTGTTCCTTTCTCAACCTTCCTTAAAAATCAAGTGACCTGAAGTTAGAGTTAGGGAATAGGCCTAGATCTAAGACCTGAGAGTTTGGCCCTTTCCAAAAAATGTCATATAGCCCAATGGCACGATAAGAAGAACAACAAAAACTGTAACAGTAATAATAGCTGCCACTTGGTACTTAGACCAGAGAAAGAAATTTCCTACAAACCTTACAAGCAAAATCCCATTTTGCAGAGGTGGAAAGTGTTGTTCACATATTCGTGTAGCTCTCCTAAGGTCTTGGATCCTAAAGAATGGCAAAGCTCAGAGAGTAAACCAGGTCATCTGTATCTAATTTGTTCCTCTTTTCGCTGCATAGACTGTCAGCTAGTGCAACTTAACATTTTCAGAGAAGAGAAATTTTCATAATTCTTGTCTGGCTATAAAAGGTTGAGAGAACATACTCCCAAGCTGGGATATTCCTCTTTGAGCACGTATTGATATTTTGTTATTATTATTACTTTTAAAAATAGCTCTTCATTTGGTTCTATAATCTGGTAATTAAGGTAAACAATACACTATGAGTAGTGTGAACTCTCATGAATACAAAGGAAGTGCACAATTTTACGCACTTTAAGATGAGATGTGGTAAAGAGATACAGATTTTAAAGACCATGAAAGCTAAAGCTGTAACTATGCAGAATGGTATTTCATTAGCAAATTAAAAGTTCTGCAGCTCGTTAACATCTTTGTTGATAGGTGGGCAAGAAATCAGGAACTTAGGGTGCTGATTAATTTATACACCTGTCATAGGAGCATGTAACCTTCTGCCACCATTGTAAGACAGGCAAGAATAAACTATAAAACAGTGGATGATACTGTTTCCTATCCCTCTTCTTAGAAATTATCCTAAGTAACCTTTGAAACAGCTTGTCCTATAGGGGGCCCCTCTGTGCCTGTGCATTCAGGATCACCTTTGTCTCTTCATTTCACTTTCCCTCATGTTTTGTTGTTCTGTTCAGTCTTCATGCCAACATCTTCAGGATTCTTGCTTTCTTCCCCATCACCCCTGTTGTTACAAACAACAGTATATAATCAGCTCTCACTCAGATGATCAAAATCTCACCTAGCCTGACTTCCTGCATCCCTCTTTGAAATGCATTCTGAAGATAACTGCTAAAATAATTTTCATCAAATGTAATTCACATCTTATTAGAAGCCAGCTCCAAAGATCCCAATAACTCCCCATCACACTTATGATGAAAGCTAAGTTCTAGATTGTGAGCTGGTTTCTTTCTGCCTTCTTCTCAATACTTGCTTCCCTCGCTGTCCTTATGCTTTTTTCCAATAACGCTTCCTTCAACAGCCTCACTCATGAAGCTCTGGTCCAAGTTGCTAATAAGGAATAAAAGGTCACTAATTAGAGCTTTGTTTGCCTCACTCTCTCTCCCCACCCCTCACTGGGGAAGATGCAGCCATCAGCTTTCTGCATGTCACACCATCCTCAATAAATCTATGACTTGTTCTCTTTCACCATCTGCTGTTCACCCTTTTTTACAATTTGAGTTACTGTTTCTTTTTTTTTTTTTTTCAGCTGCCAGGGTTTTGAAGCCTCCATAGCTTTAATAGAACATATGTTCATCATCATCAATTATTTTATGATTATTTCTTCTCTAAAGCTAATTCTATGCATGGTAGAAGCTCAATAACTATCTTTTGTATAATCCATAGGAAATTGAAAGTGCAGTAAAATCTCATCATTTGGATAACTAGGGTAAAGGTCAATCTGAATTAAAAGCTTAAATTGTAAAATCCAGCCATTGCTTTCAAGGAGATGTAGAATGGATTAAATAGGCCTATGGGACAATGTCAAAAGGCAATCCTTAGGATTTCTATTTTGGTGTAAAGGTTAAAAGGTACTTGCGAGGCTGAGATAGGAGGGTCACTTGAGCCCAGGAGTTCAAAGCTGCATTGAGCCATGATCATGCTACTGCACTTCAGCCTGGGTGACAGAGTGAGACTCTGTCATAAATAAATAAATAAATAAATAAATAAATAAATAAATAAATATTTTAAAAGAGTAAAGGGATTCGCAATTGGAATATTAGTTGAAATTAACCCTGGCATTTTAAAGTCCTGGAAGTATTTATTTTGATGCCTTGTTTATTCTGTTTATTTCTTTGGCAAATCTTTTCTTCCTAGATGGAGCAAAGGTGATTGCACAGCAATCTCTTTCTAAATAATCACAAGTGTCAATGGGGTGGAATAGAATCGTAGGGTTTCATTATCCAGGTCAGAAGGAGTACAAAGAAATATTTTCTATTGGATAAAACATCCACTTGCCATAATAGAATTCATAATAGCCCTGATTGATTTTAATGGCTGGACAACTTTCTTCTGCCTCTGACAACTGGTGAAATTACTTCATTAATTTTTATGGCCATGGCTTATAAATATTAATCTACAGCTCTGACACCCAAAAGTGTTCTCTGCTGTATGCAAAGGGATCCACATTTCCAAGCTGCTTCTCCAATTGTCCTTAAAACGCATACTGCATTATCTACCTCCTTACCTTTGCTTTAATCTGGAACACATCTGCTGCCATCTTGTTTTCATATCCAGTCTGTCTCTGCAACTCTCAAAAATAAATCAATTTCACTTTTTCCTTGAAACCTTCTATGATCTTCCCAGTCTCAAGTTCCAGCTCTCCTTCTGGGAGGTTTACAGTCCTAACTCTTGAGTTCTCAGCATTTACCTGCCTCCTGGTTATATTTTCCTGTGCACACAAATAAACTCTTTCCAAATGATTGTTAAGTCCTTCTTGAGGATGGAGAACTCCTTTGCTTTCTTTTTCTAGAATCACTGATTCATTCGATAGAAAACTGTTTTCCATGGCCTAGATTCATAGTAAACGAAGATGAAATATCTCTGTGGTTGCCTCAAGGACTTCACAGCCCATTTTAGAGATGAGTAAATTGAGGTTCAGAAAGATTAAGTTGACTATGATTGTGCAAATCTAAATGGGAGAGACCTGGGCATGAAAACGTGGCACTACTTGTTTTTATCAAAACTTTTTACCTTCCTTATGACCTTTACAACAGTTTTAATCTTATAACTCTGAGTCACTGCTTTTCCACCTCTAAATATCTTTATTCTTTTGTCTCTGTATTAGTTATTATGGCTGCTGTAACAAAGCACCTCAGACTGGGTGGCTTAAGCAACAAAAATTTATTTCTTCACATTTCTGGCTGGAAGTTCGAGAGCCAGGTGTCAGTGGGGTTGCTTTCTTCTGAGGTCTCTCTGGTCTCTGGGGTCTCTGGTGGATGCCATCTTCTCCCTGTGTCCTCACATGGTCTTTTTTCTGTGTGTGTCTGTGTCCTAATCTCCTCTTCTTATAAGGACAACATTCATATTGGATTAGGGCCCACCCTCATGACCTCATTTTAACTTAATTACTTCCATAAAGATCCTGTTACCAAATATGGTCACATTAGAGCCTCGACATATGAGTTTGGTGGGGGATGGAGGGAGTGGAAATTCCACCCATAACAGTCTCCTTTAAATTTATTTTTCTTCCCTTTACTCTGTGGTGGAGGCTTTCTGGAACTACTAAAATAAATGTAAGCTACACATATTGTGCCCCAAGTCAATTCAATATCAGGAGCCAACTTTCCTCAATAGGTTAATTTTTCTGAAGACAAAAACAGATTCTTCAGATCCTAATAGAAATAGCAGTACTGTTCCAGGTTTGAAATGTTCTCTGACATTTTAATGTCTACTGAGGTTCCACCCACTCTCTCTTTATATAATCTTTGATCCCTAGGAGCTGTGCCGCTACAATTTCTAGCACAGAGTGGACCCCAAAATGGAAGGAACCAAGTCATATGGGGTTTTGTTCAGAGCTAAGCCTTTGCTGGGATGTCTGGCAGTTGCAAAGACATGTCAGAAAATGTCTATTGGGTTACCTCAGTCTCCACTCAATCAGGCAGGGAAACAGAACATCTGGATCAATTACATGGAAACACACCCCACCCCAGAGACAGTCTTTTCTACTCAAGAGCTTTCCAACCAAATTGCGTTACAAATAGGTTTCACCCACAGGTGATGGTGGGCGAGCTCTGAGCACCAAGACCTGGATGCAATGCCATGGCTCTCTGGGTTTGAATAACAGACCGTAGGAGAGTTGGACTGTGCATACTTTTATTTGTCGCCCCACATAATCTCAAATCTCAAGACATGTGTGACTGATATACTTTCCTTTCACCTTAATTATCCATTATAACTTAGGGCGTAGATCTGTCTTTTTCTATCCAGTTGGCCTGTGTGACAGCTAAATATCACAAGATTAAAAAAGTGGGAGACACACATTGATCCAAACCACATCAGGTTGTCTAAAAGAGGAAGGAAATTGGGGCTGACTAAAACGTAAATCACAGGGGCTTGACAGAATCCCACAGGCACTGGCTCAGCCTCAGGATTATTCTCCAAGTCCTTTCACTTAATTTTCAATCAAATTACTGAATTTCTGGTAAAGTGATAATAAAAAAATGGAAGTATGGCCTTCATCCATCTATATATTCATTTAATCTAGCTATTCGTTCAACAAATAATTATTGAATGTTTACCATGTGCCTGACACTGTGCTTACAGAATTTGTGTTGATGTAAATTTTTTTTTTTATATTTTTTGAGACAGAGTCTTGCTCAGTCACCCAGGCTGGAGTGCAGTGGCGTGATCTCGGCTCACTGCAACCTCTGCCTCCTGGGTTCAAGTGATTCTCCTGCCTCAGCTTCCCGAGTAGCTGGGATTACAGGTGCACACCACCACGCCCAGCTAATTCTTGTATTTTTAGTGGAGATGGGGTTTCACCATGTTGGCCAGACTGATTTTGAACTCCTGACCTCAAATGATCCACCCACCTTGGCTTCCCAAAGTGCTGGGATTACAGGCATGAGCCACCGTGCCTGGCTGTGATGTAAATATTTTTATATTTGCCAAGGCCTAGGCTTCACTCTGATCTGAAACAATAAAGGAAAAAAATGCCATTTTTGAGATAGTAATAGCAAACACTTGCAGAGTACTTCCTATGTACCAGGTACTGTTCCAAACATGTTACACATATGAACTCATGTAGTCCACATAGCAGCCCTCTAGGGTAAAAATTACTATTAACTCCACTTTACGGTTGGGGAAACTGAGGCATAGGCAAGTGAAGTAAACTGCCCGTGGTCACACTGCTGATAAGTTAAAGGGATGATTTGGACCTAAACAGTTTGGCTCCAGGATCAATGCTTTTATTCTTCGTTAGGGAAAAACATCCTATTTACAAACCTTCAGGCACTTCGATGCCAAAATGTAATTTTATTGATTTGTTTATTCATTTATGTATATGTGGTCACTAGGTTGGGAGAAAAGTATAAGGGATAGCTTTCTAGCACATTCAAGTTATAGCATATAAGAATACACAGGTCGATATTAACAACAGCATGGATTACAAAAAGATATTGTCTAAACTTCTAAAAATGCCAAAGCCAAAGAGATACACATTTATCTCAATAAATAAATGGAACAGAATAAACTCAGTTTACTTTCAACAGGCTAGGTTTTAAAGTTCTATCAAATACTATAGGTCGGAAGCACAACCCACTGAAGCTTTTGCTATCTGAATAAATGTTGTATATCTAAGATTTATCAGGTTATTATCTTTCCTGGCTTGGGATTTGGAAATCATGAGTAAGAAAAATGAAAGAGATAAGAACATGCATTTTAGTAAGCAAGTATTTCTAGCTGTAAAAAGACAAAAACAACAATGACAAAACATTAGTCGATCGGTATTTATCTATCACTGAAAAAAACCTTCATTGAACCAATTCCTTTTCTTTCCATCCCACATTTCTGGGGTATCCTTTAACATCAGTGAACTTTAGAGACAACCTCCTACCAACCAGCTGTGTCTCACAATTGGCCAATGCTCAGCTCAAGAGCTTCTTTCTCAACAGAGGAAAACAAACAACCTTCCTTCTGATTATTCGCTTATTCTGGTATGTCTCCATTTGAATCAACACTTTAAAAAGAGAAATTTTATCTATTTTTCTTCTAAATCTTGTAATTGAATGTATTTTGCAAAGGCCTCCAACTGGTTTTCTACTTGATTTCCAACTTAATAACCTCAATTCAAATATTAATTTGTCACTTTAGAAAAAAGGGACATTTCTTTATATTATTTATATAATAATATATTTTATTTATATTATTATTATTGTATGATTATGTTTCTAAAAGTATTAACTGAGAAGGGAATTCTGCATCACATGAATTAAGACTATATATTTGAAAGTCAAATTCATATTCCAGTGTTACTTTGGGGGGACCTATTGCATTTAATTTATATTATTTGATATGACATGGACATTTGCCTAATAAAAATATGTGTGAATGAGAACAACTCATAATGCAGATCTCATGTTCTGCACATTTTGTGAACAGAGGTATTGGCTGCCTTTGGGACAATTGTTTCAACAATGTTTTATAGCAAATGGTCTTTGAAGACAGAGATGGTGCCTCCTTCTGGAACACAGTGCAAACATGTTTACTGCTCATTCTAGAAGACTCTGGTTACCTATCCTGGTTTACTTTCTTGTAATGCAACCCACTGTGTGTACAGATGTCACTTAGCTCTCTTTGCTCTGCACTGTGGCAATTGGGACTTTTGGATCTGGTACTGGAGAATTCTGATACTCTGCCTAGTGTTTTTGCTGTGAGTCAAAAAGTTCTTCATCTCTGAGCCAAGAGTCTTGTGTCTTCTGCCAACCTATGATTTGGATGTTTGTCCCTTCCAAACCTCATGTTGAAATTTAATCCCCAACATTGGAGGTGGGACCTTATGGGAGGTGTTTCAGTCATGGTGGTGAGTGCTAGATGAATGGTTGAATAAACAGGAAGGGCCTGGGTAGAGAGAGGGTGAATGAATTCTCACTCTCTTTGTTCCCTTGAGAGCTGGTTGTTAAAAAAAACCTGGTACCTCCCTACCCCTTTATTTCTCTTTCACTAAGTGATTTCTGCACGTTCTGGCCCCGCCTCATCTTCCACCATGAGTGGAAGAAGCCTGAGCTCTCACCAGATGCAGATGCCCAATCTTGAAGTTTCCAGTCATCAGAATTGTGAGCCAAATAAACCTTTTCTCTTTGTAAATTACTCAGCCTCAGGTATTTATAGCAACACAAAATGGACTAACACAGCCAGCATCCATGAAACTGTGGCAGGTTCACTTGTTAGCTTGCAAGGTGAAATATTACACTCTTCTTCACAGTTTTTGACACACAGAAGACATAAAATCGTATCATTTTGAAGAGGTGCTGTTAATAATGAACCAAACATAAACATTTCCTCTGAGATCTTATTTATAGATGCAATCTATTATTTGATCTGAAATCATATTTCACAGAAGAATGAATGTCTATTTATTTATTTATTTATTTATTTTTATTATTTTTTTTTTTTGAGACGGAGTCTCACTCTGTTGCCCAGGCTGGAGTGTAGTGGCGCAATCTTGGCTCACTGCAAGCTCTGCCTCCCGGGTTCATGTCATTCTCCTGCCTCAGCCTCCCAAGTAGCTGGGACTGCAGGTGCCCGCCACCACGCTCGGCTAATTTTTTGTATTTTTAGTAGAGACGGGGTTTCACCATGTTAGCCAGGATGGTCTCGATCTCCTGACCTCGTGATCCACCTGCTTCGGCCTCCCAAAGTGTGACTATGTCAATTTAGCAACTGATTTTTCATTCCCGAAACAGTAGTAAAATATCCCTGAAAACACAGTTATTTCTGGAGGTAACAGAGGGAAGCAGAGGATGACATAGTTTATAAAAGTTCTTTCTTACACATTGGCTTTAATATTCTGATGATAGATTTTCCAAAAGCAACATATCAGCCATAGACAATTCTAGACATCTTCAAGCTTGCGGAAGTTGCAAGAAACAGGAGCAGCCTACCTGTCCATCTTTTTCCAGGTTTCTGATCTTTGTATTAACATAAGTATGATTTAGATCAAATGTCAAAAGATAAAAAAGAAAAACAAAGGTGGAGTTTGGAGGACTTATTTAAACAGGTGAAATCATTTCTTCACATGGTAATTTGTTTTTTTTTTCAGACAGAGTTTTACTCTTGTTGCCCAGGCTGGAGTGCAGTGGTGTGATCTCGGCTCATTGCAACTCTGCCTCCTAGGTTCAAGCAATTCTCCTGCCTCAGCCTCCTGAGTAGCTGGAACTACAGGCACTCACCACCATGCCTGGATAATTTTTTGTATTTTTAGTAGAGACAGGGTTTCACCATGTTGGCCAGGCTGGTCTCGAACTCCTGATCTCAGGCTGGCCTCGGCCTCCCAAAGTGTTAGGATTACAGGCGTGAGCCATCTGATCTCTTGATTAGAAGATGCATACTTTTATGTGCAGCTGTTAATGATTGAGAGTGGCATGTATTAACTGAATCTCCCCTTTATAACCTGCCTTGCTCACACTGCAATCAACCTGTTAACCTTTGTCTTACTTGGCCAGCAAGAGAGGGTGGCCATAATCAGCACAGTGTCTGAGGTCACTTGGAAAGTTCCACTTTATTTTTTATTTTTTTAGACATAGGTCTCACCCAGGCTGGTATGCAATGGTGCGATCATAGCTCACTGCAACCTTGAACTTCTGAGTTCAAGTCAGCCTCCTGCCTCAGCTTCTCAAGCAGCTGGGACTACAGGCATATGTCATCATGTCTGGTGAATTTTTAAAATTCTTTTGTAGAGATGGGGTCTTGCTATGTTGCCCAGGTTGGTCTTGAACTCCTGGACTCAAGTGATCACCCGCCTTGGTCTCCCAAAGCACTGGGATGACAGTGAGCCACCATACCTAGCCAAGTTCCCCTTTAAGTAAATACAGTACTTCACGTGAGAGCAATAGTCCACTTTACCAATGTTACCTAACCTCTATCAGAATGTTTCCTTCTGTTCCTATTCTCTTTCAGTCTGGGAATTTATAACCATCTTAAGTCATTTCAGTAACCAAAATCTTCTGAGGAGGGCAAATGTCATAGAAATGAAAAATGACGTTCACATTATTCACTTCACTTGTTCAGGACTGACACAGACTCTGAGCCTCTCCTCTCTCTCCACCCAGCATGCCCCTTCTCTGACAAGCTGTGTCCTGGAAAGAACTGCCTCACCACTGTTTTCTTCATACATGTTGGAGAAACTCCAAAAATCAGGTCAGACAAATCAGCTCCAACATGTGGGGGCAAATAAGGTAACACTGAGTAATAAGGTGAAATTTACTGGCTCACTGCACCTACTTGGACAACGAGGACCTCGCTCACCACCCCAGATCTCTCCCAGTTATTTGTAGGGTTCCCTTGGTGGTCCTCCCATGTGCTCAGCAGCAGCCCTCCCTGCTCTTCCACACTGGTACATGTGATGCCCACTATTGCCTGCTTGTGCCTGTCAGTACCTGGATCCACTGCCAGAGTTTTGATCTTATGTGCTTCCCCAGCTGCAGACCTGTGGGGCACCCAAGCTGTGCTATTTGTACCCCAAGTGTACATGAGGGGAATGTCCCTTTCCCCATTCCCTCCCTGTCCCTACTGTGTCCTGTTCTTTGTCACTGAGGCCTCAAAGCAGCTCTGCACCAGCCTTTGTATATCTTAAAGTCTCCTCTTCCTATTTTTGTTCAGGTTCTCTTTCGAGAATCCTCTCACCTAGTCCATGGGCCAGGCTGGGGGACAAGCATGGCTTCTCCAAGTCTAGCTTTTCCCCACTTCTAACTTAAGCCTTTTTGTGCAAACCTCTTCCTCAAAGGCCCTTCTCTGCCATGGAGATTGACATGCAAATAAGCCTTGGGGCTGTTTCTCCACCACCTGTTCATCATTCTGATGTTAATTTGAGTTCAGTCTCCCTAAAACCTGAGACTGTGTTTTATAATTCTTTTGTATTTTTCACAATAATCACAGAACTGAGACTAGAAGTCAAACAACATGAGACCTAGTAAATAAATGCCTGTTGTCTGGTTATCTATACTAATCAATGCCTCTCGTGCTTGAACAATCAGGAACTGAACATCAAGGCAAGACTTAACTTATAAAAACTAATGGCCGGGCGCGGTGTCTCACGCCAGTAATCCCAGCACTTTGGGAGGCTGGGGCGGGTGGATCACCTGAGGTCAGGAGTTCGAGACCAGCCTGGCCAACATGGTGAAACCCAGTCTTTACTAAAAATACAAAAATTAGCCAGGCATGGTGGCGCATGCCTGTAGTCCCATTTAATCGGGAAGCTGAGGCAGGAGAATCACTTGAACCCGGGAGGTGGAAGTTGCAGTGAGCCAAGATCGCACCACTGCACTCCAGCCTGGGTGACAGAGTGAGACTCCATCTCAAAAACAACAACAACAACAACAAACTTATGTGCCCATCCACTGAGCAAACGAGAACTTCTGTGGATTGTTTTACCATTTCTAGGGAACACGACGAAACTTCGTTAATCAGTATGACACAGAGAACCCCTTAGTCAGTGACACAGGGACTGTGCTGCCAACTGGCTCGTATGATCTCAACAAGTTTTTGTCCCCAAGGCCAACTCATGTGACTCATCTGTGCTTATATCAGGCAAGGCATCCTGGTTTTGAAATACCTGCCTCTTCATGTATGGGCAGGCAATCACTGGTTGTCTCTCATTCCTCAAAACCACATCTTCACTGGGTGTTCAACAGTAAACATGGGCCAAAGAGGGCCTTCTAATGGAGGTTACATGGTTTCAGCTCCTTCAGGGCTTCTGCGCAGGGCAAGTAGCCAGTGAGTCAGGAAGTTGCTAAGGCAACAGCCAATGCTCTCTTTGGCCAGTCTGCTCTGCCTCAAGTCCAAGAGGGGTTATAAAAGACTTGCAGCTTAGAGAGTGAAGTCATACCCCTCCCTCCCTCTTTTTTTTTATTTTTATTTTTTCACTGTTAAAACTTCTTTAGTCATCCAAGAACATAGAAATCTGAGGAAAATGTTTTGGAGTTCTGCTCTGAATCGTCTGGAAATGGGAGAAGTGAAAACAAGGCATACTAAACAAGGTTACGTAGGTTTGGAAAGAGATAGGACAAAGACGCAGAGGAAAACTCCCCTAGCTCTGAGTCTTTGGGAACCCATGTCCGTGAGTTCATGGGAGTGATAAGAATTCCTTTGAAAGGTTTTTGGTAGTATAGTTCGTGCAGGAGAGCATTTCAATTTTGTTAAGTAAACACAGTAAAATAAAGAGAACATTAGAATAAAGCATGAAGACATCTCTTGAGCCCCCAGGTGACTGTGTAAAAAGAAAACTAAGAGCAAATCTAACTTTCCCAGTAGTCATGTAGAGAATGTCACGAAATCAAGATGATGCCAAAAGACTTAGTGCAACTTGCAGTTGTCAAACACTTGGATGTTTCACAGTGTGCAGAAAAATAGGTAATATCTAAGAGTCAGGTTTGTTTATAGAAATCGTTAAGAATTGTGCTACATAGGATTGCTAGGTGTTAAGTTACAGAGTCTTCTGTCTCATGGCATTTAACAAACTAGGACGAATGTTTTATCACTATAGTCCATAACTTAGCATGCATGTTATTTAACGGCTCTAATAGGCAAAACCCCCACTCAGAGACAATGCCCACTCACAGAAGGGCCATTGCTTCTCCTTTCCTGCTTCTCTTTCATCAAACCAAGGCTGACCATTTAGTTCTCACCAGTCCCCTTCTCCAGAGGGCGGACACATGAACAAGTCTGCACAGACGCTTTCCATAGCTGGGGCTTCCAGAAGGGTGCTTCCAATGAAGCCTTCCCCTTAAGAGGGTGCTCGCTGCCCTCCTTCTGTCACATCTCTTACCTCCTCTACTCTCTGGTTTGATAATACCCCCACCCCCACCCCCACAGATTGTTAGGTTACAACAATATAAAGTAAAATGTTCAAGAATTCATTCATTCAACAGTAATGCATGGAACACATGCTGCATTTCAGGCTCTATTACAGGCCCTGGGAATACACTAATGAACAACAGAGATAAAAGCCCTGACCCTGGGGAGATTTCTGTTGTCGGGGAAGACAGATAATACACAAAGAAGCAAACTATATGGAGGTGGTAACTGCTGTAGAGGAAAATAAACAAGGAAGGATGAGAGAGGGCACTGAGGAGGTCCAAACTTAAGTGGGTGGGTTTAGGGAAGGCCCCAGTCAGAAGGTTTCAGCTGGGCAGAGGCTCTCTGAAGGTGAGGGAGCAAGCCAGGTGTGAACTGGGGAAACATCCAGGGACTTGGAAGAGAAGAGTGAAGCCTGTGGCAGAAGGCGCCTGGCTGGTGCAGAGGCAGCCTGGAAACTGGAGAGGAGGGAATGGGGTAGGCTGGCAGCAGGGGATGAGGTCAGAGATGGAATGGGCTGGGAAGAAACAGGGGAGAGACGGTTTTCTCTCTCCTGCAGACCAGTGTCAGAGCTTCCATTACTAGCTCTTACAGAGAGGGAGACCGATTACTATTACTAATAACACCGCCAAATGCGCTAGTGACCTACCAGGAACATTGCTCTGCCTGCATTTTCTCACTTCATCCTCACAGTGACCATAGCAGTTGGCTATCATTACCTCTACTTCACAAAGGGGTAAACTGAGAGCCGAGAGGTTAAAGGGATTTGCTCAGGATCACTCGGTTTGTAAGGAGCTGACAGCAGGACATAAGCCTGTGTAGTTCTCAGGCCTGCTCTTGCTAAGGTCACAAATCAATGAGGAAAGAAGGCATATTTGGTAAACACTGGGACAATTAATTTGATATCTTAAAAATTCCACTTAGAACTTAACTCACAAAGGGACTAGAATAAATTCCAGATGTATTAAGAAATTAAATATAACCTAAAGGCTTCAAAAACTAGGAGAAAATAGGAGTGTATGTTTAGCAGATTGCAATGCAGAAAATACACTAAGAATAGACGTGATAGAAAATAATTAGAAAGAAAGAGTGTGATCAACCTAAGGACAGTTTGCTCTCTGGACCCATGGGTTTGCATTCATGACTTCAACCAACCACCAATCGAAAATATTCCAAAAAATTAAAAATAAAAACAGTAAAAATAAAAATAATATAAATAAGAAATATGCCGTAACAACTACTTATGTAACATTTACACTGTATTAGGTATTATAAGTAAGCTAGACATTATTGAAAGCATATGAGAGGATAGGCATAGATTGTATGTAAATACTACTTCATTTTACATAAGGGACTTCAGCATCTTTGAATTTTGATATCCACGGGGTCCTAGAACCAATCCCCTTTGGAACCCAAGTGATGGTTACATGCTGAAATTTTAAACTTCTCTTTAAACAAATTCAGATATCTATCAGAGGATTAGTTTATTGTTTTATTTATTATTATTATTTTTTTGAGATGGAGTTCCGCTCTGGAGTGCGGTGGCACAATCTCGGCTCACTGCAACCTCCACCTCCTGGGTTCAAGGGATTCTCATGCCTCAGCCTCCCGAGAAGCTGGGGTTACAGGTGCCCGTCACAATATCTGGCTAATTTTTTTGTTCTTTTACTAGAGACTGGGTTTCACCAGTTTGGCCAGGCTGGTCTCGAACCCCTGACCTCAGGTGATCCGCCCAGCTTGGCCTTTCAAAGTGTTGGGATTACAGGTGTGAGCCACTGCACCCGGCCACTTTATTTTATAAGGAATATGCATACGTTTATAAGGAATATATGTAAAAAGGGAAAAAATGATCTATATCACTAATCATCAGGGAAATGCAAATTAAAACCACAATGAGATATCACCTCACATCTGTTAGAACAGCTATTACCAAAAAGACCAAAGATACCAATGTTGTTGAGGATGTGGAGAAAAGAGAAATGTACACTGTTGGTGGCAATTTGGATTAATATGGGAATTATGAAAAACAGTATGGAAATTCCTCAAATAATTAAAAATACAACTATTATATGATCCAGCAATCCCACAAGCAGACATTTCTCCAAAGGAAAGAAAATTAGTGTATCAAAGAGACATCTGCACTTTGATGTTTTTTTGCAGCACTATTTACAATAGCCATGATATGGAATCAATCTAAGTATCAATCAATAGATAAATGGATAAAGAAAATGTGGTGTATATACACAATGGGATAACATTTAGTCATGAAAATAAGGAAATACTGTCATGAGTGACAACATGGATGACCCTGGAGGACATTAAATGAAATAAGCCAGATACATAAAGACAAATGCTGCATGACCTCACTTATATGTGGAGTCTAAAAAAGTCAAAGTCATAAAAACAGAGAGTAAAATGGTGGTCACTAGAGTTTGGAGAACAGGGGTATGGGGAGATATTGGTCAAAGAACACAAAATTTTGGTTAAGAGGAGTAACATCAAGAGATCTATGGTATGTCATGTTGGACTATAGTTGATAAGAGTATCTTATATAGTTGAAAATTGCTAAGAGTAGATTTTAAGTGTTTGCACCACAAAAACATAAGTATGTGAGGTAATGCATATGATTTAGCCATTCCACAATGTGCACAAATATCGAAACATCATGTTGTATACCATAAATATATACAATATTTACTTGTCAATTTTAAAATATAAAAAATAAATATTTGCATATTGAACAAATGTGCAAACAAGGAAATATAAATGAAAATTCAATTAAAAATGTGCAAAGGGCATTAACAAAATTTTAAAGGGAATGGGGCAGGCATTTGGTTTGTGACATATAACTAGGTCACTAACATGATAACTAGGTTACAAACATAAAAAACCATTCAATCTCACTCACAGCCAAAGAAGGAATTAAAATATATTTTTTCTCCTATAAAACTAGTTTTTAAATGGTAATATTTAACAAATACTAACAAGGATGCCTAGAAGAAAGAACAGTTTAACTTCTGTTGTTGTCGCTAGTTATGTACCTTATTAAGGTCTGTGTTCCAGCCATAATCTCTCTTTGGCAGAGGTTTTGGCTTTTAGATTAAATGGAATTCGAAGTGACTGTTTTAGTCCACAAGAATGTTGGCTGTTGCAAAATCAGCACAACATAATAAAGTACACCTGGAGCTCTAGAAGGCCTTTTGCTGATGACTTCTCATGTCTGTGCTTATTTCTTCTTTCCTGGAGATAACATCCCGGGAGATAACAGGAAAGAAAAATCTTTGCAACCCACAAAATGGCTAGAGCTGACCACTTTACGTTTCCGAAGATGATTATTTCCTGTTTCAATCAGGGAGACCAAACAAGGAAGTTCCTTTAGATTGATGTGGATGGTTAGGACTTTCTACACATCTGTATCTCAATCTCATGTCTGTAAAGGCTCTGTGAATAGCACCAAGAGTTTTTTCCACTTGTAGTCAAATATATGACTTCCCTGCTCACTTAGCCTCCCCTGAGTCTGGAGAGTGATGCTGATAGAAAAATCACATGGCATGTCCCAAACGAGGCCATCCTGACCAAGAGTCCCACAGGAAATACCATTTCAGAAAAAAACAAAAAAAAACCTTTCCTTGCATAAACTGCTGCTCCTCCAATTTACACATGCAAGGGATTTTTTTACAGTGGTTTTGAAACATCACTTGGAATATCTTTATTATTCTGATGAACGATGTTTTGATCAGTCCTACTTACCACAAGCCAAGTTGACTTTGGCAAAAACAGCTTCTTGAGTTAAGATTGGGGCTGTTTGGGAAGCGTTTCCTAGAAACTTCTACAATTGACCATTTGGTTTTCATAATAAATAAGGGTGACCAACTTATTTTACCTAGTAAGATTTTTTTTTTTTTTTTTTTTTTTTTTGAGATGGAGTCTCGCTCTGTCGCCCAGGCTGGAGTGCAGTGACGCAATCTCGGCTCACTGCAAGCTCCGCCTCCCGGGTTCACGCCATTCTCCTGCCTCAGCCTCCCGAGTAGCTGGGACTACAGGCGCCCGCCACCTCGCCCGGCTAATTTTTTTGTATTTTTAGTAGAGACGGGATTTCACCGTGTTAGCCAGGACAGAATTGATCTCCTGAACTTGTGATCCGCCCACCTCGGCCTTCCAAAGTGCTGGGATTACAGGCGTGAGCCACCGCGCCCGGCCCCTAGTGAGATTTTAGTTTCTTATGAAATACATACTCAGTACATGGAGAAGTTAGTTTACTAGGAAAAGATACCTCCCAGACTTAAAGATAATTCACACATAACAAGCTTTTTGGATCCAAAGCCCTAATTTACAATTTGGATAAACTAGAGTGTTTCGAGGAAATAGAATTCAAAGATGTTTCCATACTTGGGTATAAGAAAACTCATCAGGAAAAAAATTGACACTAGATAATATGCCAAACAAAACAAAACTAAACAAAACAAAAACTCTGAAATTTCATAGCTTGATTTATTTTTTAAAATTATTATTCAAACTATTTTATGATAAATCAAAATGTAAATCTAAGCTTAGAATAAGTATCTTTTAAGGTGTTAAGACAAATAAAATATTGGTCCAAAAATTTCTTATTCTTGATCATGTATTTGTATATCAGATTATGTGATGCGAAATAAGATTTCAAATGACAGTTCCCACTCTGGCAATAGGAACGTCCCTGATTCATTTTACATTTTCCAAAAGCTAGGCTGGGGAGACAAGAATGGGGAAGAGAAAGATGGACATTTATTAAGTGCCTAATCTGTGTCAGGAACTATCACATACTTTCTTTCATTTTAAGCCTCTCAAAAATTTTGCAAGATATTTTTCTCATTTCACATGAAGGAATATTTTTCCTAAGATTACATATTTTATAGCCTAGGATTTTTAGACTCAAAGGTTTCATGCAATTTCCACTATCATAGTGTTTTATAAAGTAGTATATTCTGTTAGGCTATTAACATGTGTTTCACTGTATACTTAAAAAAAAAAAAAGATTCCATAGTTACATACATTTAGTAAAGAAAGTGAAATGAATCTCCGCCATCCGCCATCTCTAAGATTTCAATATACACATACAGATTCTGTGTGCTAATGAATGCTAAGCAACTGACTGTCTTATTTAAATCTTATTTGAATATATCCAAAATAACATTCCCTGACTCATAGCATTTGCTGATTGCCACATGCCTATTTCCATGGTGTAAATTCTCCTAACACAGCAGATTTCCAGAAATGTGGAGCTGGAAAGAGATGTGCACATTTGGTTCTGGTGAGCCAGTAGGAACCAATTCTAGCAGCCCACAGAGTCATTTTAGTATTTTATTCTACCTAAGAACACTTATTTCACTAGGCTTGGAATTCTACAGAACATATCTTGGGAAACAAGGAATTTTTAACAGGATTCTGACCCTCAGTTTACTACTTTTTTATAAACAAGATTCGAATTCAAATGTTGATTCATTTTCCATGCAAATATTATGCATACACAGTTGTTTAACTTTTTGAAAAAGTCCATTTCTAGGGAAAATGCTTCTTTTGATTTCTAGTATACATTTTCCATTATAATTGATAAGTTAAACTTTGGAAAACTCACACTTCTCCCTTGGACTAGAGTGAGGGATTGGTTGGTGATAGATTCTCTGTTTAACATCTGTAATTTCTTCGCAGAAGAGATGACTCTAACCTGTTCTTGAATCAGATTCAGTTAATTTCCAGTTCATTCGTTCATTCATGTATTCAGAAAAGACCTGTTAAGTGCCTACTATGTGTACATACTGTTTCAGGCATTTACAGTTATCACTGAGCAACACAGACAACATTCCTGCCCTCAGGAAGCCTATATTCTAATGGATGGAGGCAAACAATATACAATAAGCATAATTAATAAGTAAATTATATTGAATGTTTAAAAGGTGCTATGGGGAAAGAAGTAGATCACTTTAGGGAGGAATGGGAGTGCCGAGCATGTGCTGGGAAGCATGTGAGGTATTAAACAGAATGGTCTATTAAATGTCACTGAGAGATGACATTTGTATGAAGACTTGAAGGAGGTAAGGGAGTTAACCAAATGGATATTGGGGGTAGAATGTTCCAGGCAAAGGAATAGCTAGAGAAAAGTCCCTGAGGGAAAGAGTGTGTGGCCTCCAAAAATAGAAAGGAGGCTAGTGTGGCTAAAATGCATGGACAGAGTACAAGAAAGCGGAGACAGAGAAGAAACCCGGGTTATATGACATGGGACCTAGTAGGCCATTTTAAGGACTTTGGCTTTTATTCTTTGTAAAATGAAGATACACCATAAGTGACTGAGGAAAAGGGTGATGTGACCATCTCACATTTTAAAACATCACTCTGGATTCAATTTAGGGATTAAGGGTAGAATTTGGGAGGCTCTAGTGACAATCTAGGTGAGCGGATGGAGTCCAAACCAGTGGCCACAGTAGAGGTGGTGAGAAGTAGTCAGATCCCAGTATATTTTAAAGATGATTTCCTAAGTGATTGCTGTGAGAGAACGAAAAGTAAAGACGACTCCAAGGTTTTGGCTTTGAGCAACTGGAAGAACAAATTGCCATGGGAAAGGCTACAGGAAAAGCAGATCTCTGGGGATAGGGATAAGAGGCATTGGAATTTTAGTTTCAGACATATTGAATTTGAGATGCTAATTTGATGTCCAAGTGGAGATGTCCATTAGGCAGGTTGCTGCTTATGGGGGATTTATATTTAACAGTCACTCCCAGGGAGGTAGGAGAAGGTTGCTCCCAGAGATCTGGGTTCAAGTACCAGGCGCACCTTTTCTAGCTGTGGGACCTCAGAAGTATTTAATGGCTCTGAACCATATGTTTTTAACTGTAGATTGGAAAGAAGAATCTCTACCTTGCAGAATTTTCATAAAGGTTAGAGATAGCCAATAAAAAAGTACCATTTGGGGCATTCCATAAATTCTTGATGTCTCCCATATCATTAAAAGTGATCGAACCAAAAGAATCTCTCTTCTGGTAGAATGACACAATTTCAAGACATGTACATCAGGGGTATTCTTCACACAGAGAAAGATTCCAGCTCCTTCAAAGTCTGCCACACAACAAGGTGTTTACAAAATTAATCTGAGGTCTAGAGTCCAATTCCTTCACGTTTCAAGGGTAGGACCCTAGATAAGTCACATACCCTCTTTGAATCTCGGTTTCCTCATCTACAATATTGGAAACCAATGTTTTCCAATTGCTTAGTAAAATGAAATGGAATGAAGACAATGAGCAGAAGAAGTTCTGGCAGCCTTATTCAGAACTGGCATCTGGCTTTAGGCATTACCTCTATCCTTCTACGTTCTGAAAGAACCTGGAAATTGCCTTTGTGCTAAGTGGCTTTTGTGGGTAGGAAATGAAATTAGCTCTGAAGATGCTTTCTGAATGAATCCACCTGGTCACTTAGGGAAGGCTCTAGGTATCAAAGAAAGCCACTGATATCCAGATCCCTGGATATTATCAATATCAATGAGCCAGTTGTTCCTTTTGGAAGAGAATCCTTTCTTTTATTCTTTTTGCTGACAGTGTATACCTTTGTTAGATAAAGAGAATAGTATACATATTTCTGATTCAGATACTTTCACTGTTGTAGCTGTATGGCCTTAGGCTAATATTTTGCAGTATTTGTTATGATACATAAGAAATTTGAATTTATTTTATCTTTTGAGCTTCTATGACAAACACTACCTATGAGGTAAAATTTTACATTTTTTCATCAAAACTTTTACTGCCAAATACCAGGCTATTTCAGTTTTTAGAAGTTTCTGTATCTGTAGAACTCAAAGCTAATTCATCTGGCACAGACAATATAAAAGCAAATGCCATGCATCTTCCTTAAGTTTTGTATTTCCAATCATCGTTATTTCGCTATCACCTGAAATTGGTGGCCTGCTTTAGGTTGAATTGCCAACAGCAAATACTTATTTTAAAAGTTCTGGTTTTTTAGCATACCTTACACATAGTTGAGGCCTATGGCACTCATGGAGAAGAAGTGGAAGGTGAGGTAAAGTGGAAAAAAGAATTTACAGACAGGAAAGATAAGCTGGCTGAGAAAGTGTCATGAAGCGCTTGGCATATCTTGTTGAGTAAAATAAACATAAGAAACGTTTGAAGGTTGCTTACTTCCTAGTGGGAAATATCCAAGCTTTTTCACTCCCTTTCCTTATTAACGTGAATTTCTAAGAAACTAATGTGATTGTTTCCTGCTTTCCTCCAGTTATGTATTTGTGAGACCTCTGGCCCTCATTCAGGAGAGCAAAATTGCCACTTTCTAAAAATTACCCACAACTACTGCAGCTTTGACATTGTTAATTGTAGGGCCATGCATTAGAGTGAAAACAGTCTAATAGAAAATGAATCAACGCATGGCGATATTTTGATAAGATAGAATGGTGCCTAAAATTATGTTTTCAAAGAACCAGTGATTATATCAGAAGATGCCTAAAACAGATTAAATGAAAGTTGATATAAAATAATTAATATAAAATAATTTGGGCTGGGCGCAGTGGCTCAAGCCTGTAATCCCAGCACTTTGGGACGCTGAGGCGGGCAGATCTCCTGAGGTCAGGAGTTCAAGACCAGCCTGGCCAACATGGTGAAACCCCATCTCTACTAAAAATACAAAATTAGCTGGGCATGATGGCACGTGCCTGTAATACCAGCTACTCAGGAGGCTGAGGCAGGAGAATTGCTTGAACCCAGAAGGCGGAGGTTGCAGTGAGCTGAGATTATGCCATTGCACTCCAGCCTGGGCAAAAAGAGTGAAACTCCGTCTCAAAAACAAAAGAAAAAAAATTGAATTTTGGATTCATAGTTATGGCTCTATACATATGTATATATCATAAACATGTGTATAGATGTGTACATATAATAGGAACACATATGTACAAAAAAGTTCGGAAGCAAACTGACATGAATAACTTAATAGCTGTTTTTGCTGGGTTGTGGTATGAGAGGGACCTGCCACCATGCCTGGCTAATTTTTTTGTGTTTTCAGTGGAGACGGGGTTTCACTGTGTTAGCCAGGATGGTCTCAATCTCCTGACCTCGTGATCCGCCTGCCTCGGCCTCCCAAAGTGCTGGGATTACAGTCGTGAACCACTGCGCCCGGCCTAAATTGGCTAGTTTTAGGTCATTAAAAGGATCTAAATTGAGCATCAGGAAAGACTACAATGTTTCACAAACTAGAAAAAAAAATGTTTTCCAGGCTTTCAATGGCCACCATCTAAATCCTTCACACAAACACACTCACACACACTCACAACATACATAACCATATGCACTCACAAGGAAACAGCAATCCTTTATGCCAGGCATTCTCAAGCTCCTGTCTGTGGGCCAAATCCAGCCTAGCCCCTGTTGTTGTATGGTCTTATGAGATAAAAATGGATTTTACATTTTTAAGGTGTTGTCGAAGCAGGGCCCAGGGTTGGAGGGTGGGGCAAAGAAAAGTATGTGACAGAGACTGTATATGGCCCTAATATTCACTCCATGGCCTTTTGCAGGAAAAGTTTGCCAGTCCTTTCCCTATTTCCAAGTACAGTTCTGGAACTTCTGTAGCTCTTAGAAAAACCAGAAATACCCTTTGCCCTGGGCTTTGTTAAAAGGAAAGAATGTTGGGAGTTTATGGTATAATGTGAAGACAGTTCTTCATGTATTCCTATATCGTGACCTTTCAATTCTGAGAACTATAGAGGGCCTTCCTTAGATTAATAGAAAAAGAAAAAGCAATAAAGTGATCTGAATAGACATTTCTCAAAAGAAGACAAACAAATGGCTAATAAATATATGAAAAAATGTTCAACATTACTAATCATCAGGGGAATGCAAATCAAAACCACAATGAAGTATCATCTCACCCCAATTAGGGTGGCTATTATCAAAAGACAAAAGATAGCAAATGCTGGTGAGGATGCAGAGAAAAGGTAACTCATACACTGTTGGTGGGACTGTAAACTAGTAAAGCCACCATGGAAAATAGTATGGAGTTTCCTCAAAAAATTACAAATAGAACTACCATATGATCCAGAAATCCCACTACTGGGCACTTATCTGAAGGAAAGAAAATCAGTGTATCAAACAGACATCTGTACCCCCTTGTTTATTGCAGCACTATTTACAATAGTCAAGATATGGAATCAACCTAGGTGTCCAATAGCTGATGACTATAGTTATTCCAATACATACATAATGGACTACTATTCAACCATAAAAAAGAATGAAATCCTGTCATTTGTGGTAATATAAATGGAACTGGAGGAACTTATGTGAAGTGAAATAAGCCAGGAACAGAAAGTTAAACACCATGTGCTCTTACTCATATGTGGAAGCTAAAAAATGTTGATCTCATAGAAGTAAAAAGTAGAACAGAAGATATAAGAGACTGGGAAGGGTAGGGGGTAGGGGGATAGAGAGAGATTTGTTAAAGGATACGAAATTACAGATAGATGAGAGGAATAATTTCTAGCCTTCTACCGTACTGCAGAAGACTATAGCTAACAATAATATATAGTTTCAAAAAGCTAGAAGGAAACTATTGAATGTTCTCAAACCAAAAAATGATAAATGTTTGAGGTGATGGATATGCTAATTACCCTGATCCGATCATCATACTTTATGTGTATTGAAACATCACTATTACCCTAGGGAAATGTACAATTATTGTCTATTTTTAAAAATTTAAAAGTATTTAAGTTAAAATATGAGTTATTGACACATTTTAAGAAGCATTTTTTAATTATTTTAACATACATAAGATAATGGAGATAATTTTTGTAGGATGTTTCCAGATAGAGATTATGTTCATAACTGGAGAAAACTACACCTGATTAGCAGAATTGATTGTTTTCAAAAATTATTCCTTCTTTAAAAATTCTTCCTTTAAGGAGATTCACGATGATTTCAAACTATGCTACTCTTCAAGTTTATTTAGAAAACTTCATATGAATAGAGAGTGCAAAGTTAAACTGCAGCCAAACTGGAATTTCCATAATTGCCCAAGAAATGGAATTCAATGCAGAGGCCCACACAGAACATATTACACAAAGAACAGACAAGATAATTGCAGCAATGACTGGGAAGAACGAATATGCACATGTGGTACGAAGTGCAGGGGTGACAATCTGAATTACAAAATTGTGCTATAGATCAAAATAGAGTTAATATCCAAACAAACAGACAGACATTATTCTTTTCAGTGTGAGCAACATTTGGCTCCAAGCTAGAAGCAGGAAGCATGCACTCAGAGACAGATTATCTGTAACTTATTAAGAAGACTAAGATGTCTTCATTGACTCCTACCCTGACAGGAGAGAACATAGTTTAGGTGCCGATGACTAAATATTCTTAATCCTTGTCTCACTAAACAGTCACATCACCAGAACTGCCACACTGACAGACAAGGCGTTAGATTTCCCTATGCAAAGAAAAATTCCCCAACCAACTGCTGAAGGAAAGAAAAATAGGTACTAGCCCATTAAGCACACTCACATGCAACTTTATGGGAAACTGAAGAGAACAGAGACTAATCAATCAATCAAATCTAAAAGCATCCCTGAATACATCAGCATGATCAAGCAGCCGTGTTGGGAAGAGCACAGTTACACACTGGGAAGGGCAACCGATCCTCCTGCTAGGATTTTACCAACGAAATCCTTAGGCTGGGTTTGTATTACGCTACTGTGGATAACTTTGGGTTTTGATCCACACAGTTTAACATATGAATGCATGACTGAAGTGACAAATCAATTGGCAATCCAATCACTCATCCAGTAGTAATTCAGTAGAAATGGATTAAGGGAGGGTCTACCACATTCCAGGCACTACGCTGCAGTGTTAGGATTGCAGAGATGGGTGAGAAGAGCCCCTTCTCTTAGGAAGTTCACAGAATAATGTAAGGATGGTTGTGGACACAAATAGCCACCATCCTATATCAAAGTACTACAGAAGAGAATGCACAAAGTGCTGCATGATTATGGAACAAGAGGAGCAGAACCGCAAATTTTGGATGGGAACCTATAGGAAATTGAGTGGCTCAGTGGGTCTGAAGTTGTAATTGAGGTTTCTCTGGTGAACAAGGAACAAGTGTGGACTAAAATTGCATGGCAAGAGAAAGGGGTTAGCATATTCCTAGAGTAAATCACTGAGAATCACCTGTACCTTAAAAAGACCCAAGATAAATCGGTCTGGGCAGGGGTTTGGGGAAAGCATGACAGAGCACTATTTACAACTTAATGTTCAGTTTTCAATACAGAAATTGGCTGATTTCAAAATGGCTATTTTTTGAATAATCCTAATATTTCATGCTGTAGTCACATTGGTACAGGTGTTGATGCGTGCTGTGAAGTGTGTGGTCGATCTATACAGTGGTACATACTCTGCATATGTGTTGTGTTACTGTGTATGTTCATAAGAATATTTATGTACCTGAAAGTTAAGATCATATTTGCTTGCTCTAGGATCTGGGACAATGTTTTACCCTATGAGAAGATGTTGTTTGTTCCCATTATAATGGCCTTCTAAGTTAGACTGAATTAAAACTTATCTAAATTAGCATCTATGTGTGAGTGTTGCCCACGTGGCAGGTGAGACAGAGCTAATGTTTTCTGCTCCAGTTCCAGCTGGCAGACTGGGTTCCATAGGGGATACTGCATGTCTGTCATTGAAGGAGCATTTGAAATTAGGAGGAGGAAAAGTCTACGAAATGAGAAACTATGCTATACTGGAGAGCTAGTTTCCACACTGCCTGATTACCATGAAACTATGTCTTTCTACTCAGCACCACAGGACAAGATAAACGGTCCTCCAAGCCTGCTGAGAGGAGTCAGTGGAGCTGCACAAAGACCACAGAGATCTGAGAGTTGTGTGGCTGCTGCGGTCCTGAGACCATGTTGCTCTGTGTGGACTCTGCCACACAGACTGCAGAGCCAGGGGCTGCTCCATGGGGCCAGGAGTCAGTAAAAAACTAAAAACAATCAGGATGGCCCCGGAGAGAATTAGGAATGTGATGAGTAGAGTGTTTGGCACCGTAGCCCAGAGCTGAATCCCTCAGGGGCCATAAGTAGCAAAGCGAAGGAGCAGTCTTCCGTCGGAGAGGAGGGCTGTCCAAGGTGGACTCAGGACTGGCACAGAGCAACATGGGGCCTGAAGAAGGCACTACTCAATGCAGGCCTTAGCCCAGCACTTTTAATGATGGAAAGCATACAATTATATTGAAAATATCAGATTGTGAGCACATTCAAAAGGTACAGAGGGCTCAACATCAACGTAATAAGAACTAGAGAAGTACCTGAGAAAGTAGCAAGGCACAATCAAGGCAATGTCATCAAAGAAGCAGGCCAGGGGCTTAATATCTTGGTGCCATGGCAAGAATGATGCCATTCCTTAGTGAGGAGAAATAAGCGGGGAAGGAGGAAGCAAATGGAGGGGGAAAGAGAGGAGTAACAGGGAAGAGCACATGGGTATATGTCACAAGTCATTAGCTGGCATTAGCTACATCAATACATGGTATAAATCCTGCATCATAAGGACCAAAAATACTTGAATCAAGGACCTCATTGACAATTGGGCAGACAGGGCATGATGTGCACTGAGAGACTGCCATAGCAATGCCACCCAGCTACGAAGCTGATGGCATTAGAGTCTGAGCGGGTGGTACCTTTGTGCTGAAATGTTCAGTTCTACAGATGAGAAGCTCTCAAATCAAAGTCCAGATCTCACTCTAGCATAAAACCATGCTAAATGCTTACCTTCACAAGGATCTCAATTTCTTCTTTAAGGTAAAGGAGCAATTGGAAGGATGGTCCAGGGAAATAATGAGGTTCACACGGCAATGGGATTTAATCGAGGGAAAAATTAAAATGAACAACCTCTATAAGTAGGATTGTACTTAGCTGGAACCACTTAAAATGGATCACATATACACTAATCAATTACGATTCAAGGAGTCCAAAGTCATTTCATTCCCTGGAACCCTGACTTCTTCCAATATTTCATTGGAGAGATCCTGATGTAAGCATGGCCTTACTTTTAAACTAATTTACTCTGAAGATAGGGCACTATTTTTTTCAGCCCCAATCTGCAATTCACTTAGGCTCCTCATTACTTCTAGTCATGCAACTAAATTAAGTAGGGAAAAGAGTCTCCAAGCACGGACAGCAACTGATGGGAAGAATAATAGAATAGGGACCAGAAAGACAGCTTTGGTTAGGGTAGGAGTTGCAGTATTTTCCAAATCTGTCAGCCTCACAATGCAGTGTTTCAGTAGGGATTGAGTCATGACTCCATTTCAATTACTCCACAAAAGAAAGAAAATTGTACGTGACAGTACACCATGAACCTCTACAGCAGCTAAATCTGTGAATAGAGAGGGCTGGAGTTGTGTGCTCTATGGGTAATGTGGGAAAGGGCACCCCATTGTTTGAAATCCAGGCGTGCTGTATGTTGCTGTGTGTGTGTGTGTGTGTGTGTGTGAGAGAGAGAGAGAGAAGGAGGAGGAGGAGGAGGAGGGAGAAGAGGAAGAAGAGGAGGGAGAAGAGAGACAGAAGAGGGACAGAAACAGAGAGAAGAGAGTGGAGAGATGGCAGGGAGAGAGAAGATAGAGCAAAGACACAGACCCAGAAGTACAAACAATTCTGATGACATTGCGGATGGTGTATTGTCACTAATGATCTCTATGTCATCCTGCTAATTCAGGAGTAAATAATACTAATAGTAATAACATCATCATAATAATAATTATTAATATCTGAACAGAGACTAATGGCTGGACGTTGAAGAAATATAATTGTGAGACAGTGTCATTATATCTGATGAGGTAAGTGAAAAGCTGAAGGAATTAGGATATCCTCAGTCTGCATACTATAGAAGAGTTAGTTCTTTTGAAAGGATCGTCTAATTTAGGCAAATTCAATATACAAGTAAGATTTCTCATTTCTGAAACAATGCCTGGTAAGGAGTAGGTGCTCAATAAATATTTGTTATTTCATGATTCCTGCACTGGAGGGAGGCGTCAGCCTGAGTATCCCTGACTGGATAGAAATGCGCATGCTCAGGCCACATGCTTCCTGCTTAATCGCTCCCACACTATTTCTTTAGAAGCAAACTTGAACTCAGCCCAAGGGCGGACTTGCTCTTCTCAAGTAACAGTGACAGAGCTGGCAGGGCGCGGTGGCTCACGCCTGTAATCCCAACACTTTCGGAGGCCAAGGTGGGCGAATCACGAGGTTAGGCGTTTGTGACCAGCCTGACCAACATGGTGAAACCCCGTCTGTACTAAAAATACAAAAATTAGCTGGGTGTTGGCGCATGCCTGTAATCCCAGCTACTCAGGAGGCTGAGGCAGGAGAATCACTTGAACCCGGGGAGGCCGAGGTTGCAGTGGGCCGAGATCGTGCCACTGCACTCCAGTCTGGGTGACGGTGCAAGACTCAGTCTCAAAAAAAAAAAAAAAAAAAAGTGACAGAGATCATATTAGATGAAGTGAAACGTGACAAAGGAGACTTCAGACCCTTATTCAAGTCCCTGGAAAGTCCCTGAAAGAGAGCGCCTCAAACCTTGAGAGCAAAATACTCTTCCCAGCCCTGGTTTGTCCATTGACACCATGAGGCAGAGCTTCTCTCTTGACGTCTGAGCTTCTCCAAGGGCTTTTCTCTCTGTGCTCCAGGCATCTGACCACCAGCTTCCATGGTGAAAACAGACGAAGCTCTACTTGTTCACCAGATATTCCTTCTTTTCACTTAACTGTTTTGCTTTTTTTTTCCCCCAACTCCTGACTTTAAGCTGAAAAACTGAGCAATCCATGTGAAAAAGCTGAATATTCAATTATATGAAAAATAAAAAGCATAAAATAACTTCGCTATTAATTTGGATCTGACAGTGTGTATTTTCCACACTCTTCAGGTGCAGAAGAAGCCAGTGCTGTGCATGTGTCATCTGCTCCACACCCAGGTGCAGATGGGGACAAGTGTTAGGACTTTGAGGAACGTAACCATAGGTGACAGGATCATAAACCAGTAGTCCTAGAAAAGGTGGCAGGTGAACCTGAAAAGAAAACTGTAATGTTCTTCTAAAGGAAGGATTTTCTATGCATAAAACTACTGACAAAAGTCACAAGGAAGTATGAGATTTGACAACATGAAAAAATTAACCCAGAAAATATCATAACAAAATTAATAAGCAAAGAGTAGACTTTAAAAAGTGTAACAACATGAAAATTAGCCAGTAGCAATACCCTTGACACATAAAGGACACTTACAAATCAGTTTTTAATAAGTAACTGTGAAAGTACACAGGTAGAGAGATGAACAGAGAGAGAGAGACAGATTAATCTTAGATCTATCTATCTATCTATCTATCTATCTATCTATCTATCTATCTATGTATCATCTCTCTATTTGTCTACCTACCTACCTACCTACCCATTTTAGGCCATTTGGGATGCCATAACAAAATACCATAAACTGGGTAGCTTATAAAAACCAGAAATTTGTTTCCCACATTTCTGGAGGCTGGGAAATTCATGATCTTGATCCAAGGTCTTGGTTCCAGCAGATCTGGTGTCTGGTGAGGGACCACCTCCTCATAGATGGTATCTTTTCACTGTGTCCTCATGGTGAAAGGGGTAAACAAGCTCTCCAGGTTCTCTTTTATGAAGGCACTAATCCTATCCTCATCTTCTAACAAAGTCCTCATCTCCTAATACCATCAGCTTGAAGGCTGAGATTTTGACATATGAATTTGGAAATTGGGAAGATACAAACACTTAGACCCTAGCCCACTCACTCACTGTATCTATCTATCTATCTATCTATCTATCTATCTATCTATCTATCTATCTATCTATCATGTATGTATCTATCTATGTATCTATCTGTCTATCTATCATGTAAGAACGTATTATTGGCTGGAATAATGGAATCCAAACTGGAAGCAACCTCAGAGATCAACCCTAATATATATACTTGGTATTTTTCCTTCCCAGTCTTCCAAAATACCTCTCACACCTTCACCTTATTGTGGGAAGTCAGGGACCCCAAATGGAGGGACTGGCTGGAGCCACAGCAGAGGAACATAAATTGTGAAGATTTCATGGACATTTATCAGTTCCAAATAATACTTCTATAATTTCTTATGCCTGTCTTTACTCTAATCTCTTAATCCTGTTATCTTCGTAAGCTGAGGATGTACATCACCTCAGGACCACTGTGATAATTGTGTTAACTGTACAAACTGATTGTGAAACCTGTGTGTTTGAACAATATGAAATCAGTGCACCTTGAAAAAGAACAGAATAACAGGGATTTTTAGGGAACAAGAGAAGACAACCATAAGGTCTGACTACCTGCGGGGTCGGGCAAAAAGAGCCATGTTTTTCTTCTTGCAGAGAGCCTATAAACAGACGTGCAAGTAGGGAAGATATCGCTAAATTCTTTTCCTAGCAAGGAATATTAATATTAATATTAATATTAATTAAAGGAATGCATTCTTGGGGGGAGGTCTATAAACAGCCACTCTGGGAGTGTCTGTCTTATGCGGTTGAGATAAAGACTGAGATACGCCCTGCTCTCCTGTAGTACCCTCAGGCTTACTAGGGTGGGGAAAAAATTCTGCCCTGGTAAGTTTGTGGCCAGACTGGTTCTCTGCTCTTGAACCCTGTTTTCTGGTAAGGTGTTTATCTAGATAATACGTGCACCACTGAAGGTAGACCCTTATCAGTAGTTCTGCTTTTGCCCTTTGCCTTGTGATCTTTGTTCGACCCTTATCGGTAGTTCTGTTTTTGCCCTTTGTCCTGTTCCTTCAGAAGCATGTGATCTTTGTTCTGCTTTTTGCCCTTTGAAGCATGTGATCTTTGTCTATTATTACACCCCCTCCCCTTTTGAAACCCTTAATAAAAAGCTTGCTGGTTTGAGGCTCAGGTGGGCATCATGGTCCTACCAATATGTGATGTCACCCCCAGCCACCCAGCTGTAAAAATTCCTCTCTTTATACTGTCTCTCTTTATTTCTCAGCTGGCCAACACTTATGGAAAATAGAACCTACGTTGAAATACTGGGGGTGGGTTCCCCTGATATCACTTCTCTCTTCATACCACCCACATCCCCTCTTCCTGCCTCACACTCAGTGAACAACTTTGCCTCACACATTACAGAGGACACTGAAGGACTCAGAAGAGAGCTGTCACTCCTTTTCATCATCGCATCTCAAACTCTCTGCCTGTGCTTCTGGCAAGTCTGCCTTCGCCCCTGATCCAAGAGAGAGATGTGTGAAGGGATGTGCTGCAGAGGACCCAGGCTCCTGCTCTAGTCAAGGGGCAGCTCTTCTAGAGCCCAGCCCCTCCTGCCTACTCCAGGGAGTGGCTCTTGCACTTGAAACTTCTCTGCTGTAAAATCAACTTCTCCCAAAAAAGAAACCATGAGCTAGTGTTTTTTTATTTTTAAAAATATGCTTTAACCACTATCTCATCAAAACACTCATCTCTTGTCTTTTAGGAGCCCAGACTTTCCTGCTTTTCCATCTGACTCCTTTTCAGGCTCCCTCTTGTTCAGCCTCTAAAGGCAGGAGCACCCCAGGGCCAGGTGTTTGAAACTTTTCTTTTCCTAACCTTCTCCCAGGGGACCACATCCAGTGTCATGGCTTCAAATACCATCCGTTATGGGTTAAATTGTGTTCCTCAAAGGATGTTGAAGTTGTAAAACTTAATACCTGTGAATGTGACCTTATTTGGAAATAGGGTATTTGTTGATGTAATCAAGTTAAGATAAGGTCATGAGAGTGGACCCTTATTCAAAAAACTGGTCTCCTTACAAGAAGAGGAAAATTTGAACACAGAGACAGGAAGAGAGAAAATGGAGGTGGAAATTGGTCAAAAAATGCCAATTGGAAACTGGAGGTGAAAATTGGTCAAAAAATGCTAAGGAAGCTAAGAGAAAAGCATGGAACAGATTCCCCTTCTCAAGATGACTTGAGAGAGCATTGTCCTGCCAATACCTTGATTTTAGACTTCCAGCCTCCAGAACTGTGAGATAATAAATTTCTGCTGTTTGGGGTACTTCGTTATTATAGCCCTAAAAATCAATATGCAATCTATATACTATTAATTCTCAGATGTTATATCCAGCCTTGACTAACTCTGACTCTTTTTTTCTTTTCTTTTTATTTATTTTTATGGTTTTTTTTGGTTTTGTTTTGTTTGTTTTTTTTTTGTTTTTTTATATGGAGTCTCGCTCTGTCACCCGGGCTGGAGTGCAGTGGTGTGATTTCGGCTCACTGCAACCCCCATCTCCTGGGTTCAAGCAATTCTCCTGTCTCTGTCTCCCGAGTAGCTGGAATTACAGGCACGTGTCACAATTTTTGTATTTTCAGTAGAGATGGGGTTTCCCCATGTTGGCCAGGCTGGTCTCAAACTCCTGACCTCAGGTGATCCACCCGCCTCAGCCTCCCAAAGTGCTGGGATTACAGGGTGAGCCACTGCGCCTGGCCCTGAACTAACTCTTAACTCCACATTGCATATCCAATTGTCCACTTGGTATATATTTAAATTTCTGATTGGAATCTCAAAGCAGAAATCATGACTTCCATTCTGCAACCTGATTTCTTTCCAATTTTCCCTTATTAGTAAATAACCCATGATTCACCCACTTACTGATGATAACAACTTAGGAGTCATTCTTGATTCTCTCTTTCTTTTATTCTGTGTCCAATAAACACACAAGCAAGTCTTGTCAACTTTACTTCCCAAAGAGATTCCAGATGTGTCCACCTCCTTCCATCCTGACTGCTTCCACCCTATGAGGAACCATCAGCATCATCTCCTATCTGGACTCCTGCCACTGTGAACTAACTGGTGTTTCTGCTTTTGCTGTGGTTTGCCCTTAGAAACGGTGATTTTGAAAAATAAATAGTCCAGGTATAGTCCCTTCCCTGCTGAAAGCCTCCAGTCCAACCTCTCTACACTGTTTTTTTGTTTTTTGTTTTGTTTTGTTTTTGTTTTTGTTTTTGTTTTGAGACAGAGTTTTGCTCTTGTTGCCCAGGCTGGAGTGCAATGGTGCAATCTCTGCTCACTGCAACCTCCACCTCCTGGGTTCAAGCAATTCTCCTGCCTCAGCCTCCCAAGTGGCTGGGATTACAGGCATGCGCCACCACGTATGGCTAATTTTGTATTTCTTTTTTTCTTTTTTTACTAGAAACGGGGTTTCACCATGTTGGTCAGGCTGGTCTTGAACTCCTGACCTCAAGTGATCCACCCCCCTTGGCCTCCCAAAGTGCTGGGATTACAGGTGTGAGCCACTGTGCCTGGCCAATCTCTTTACACCGTTCTTTAAGACTCTACACGGCTCCTCCAAAATTCTCTGTTGTCATCTTGTGCCACACTCTTCTCTGCCCTGCCCTCTCCAGCCACACTTGCCCTATTTCTATTCAGCAAAACTCAAAGCTTTTCCTATTTTAAGGTCTATGCACTGACTTCTCCCTCTACCCAGCATGACTTCCCCCAGATTATTGCATGGCTGTCTCCTTATTATTCAGATTTCAATTAACAGTCTGTCAATTGTGTCATCCTGCTTTAATCATTGTCAAATCACTAGAACCAGCTAATAAGTTCTTATTTATCTCCTGTCTTCTTTTAATGTATTTTAAGTTGCATGAGATAAAATCTTATGTTGTCTTGTTCCTTGCTATATTCCTAGATTCTACAATAGTGTGTGGCCAAGAGTACTCACTAAGTAGCTTTTGTATGAATAAATTAATCCACTGCAGCCCCACTTCATTTTTTTTAACAGAAGAGAACATAGGAATAGTGAGTTCAATGCCTTTTCCAGGCTGTGCAGTAATGTTGCAGCCTTTCCTTTTGCAATTTGGTGCTCCCTCCAAAGACACACTTGTTATATCTGTCTGAAACTGGGAAGTCTGAATCTGTCCATTCAGTTAGTTCATCAATTAATCATTTACAGTGCAGTGCCTCCTATGCACCAGATGCTCTGCTCTGTGCAGAGAATATAAAGCTAAATCACTGAGGGCTCCCACCCTTAGGAGTTCAGACAGGTAAACTTCAATAACTATCAATATAAAATAAGTGATGTAGCGAAGGATACAGTTAAGTGCTGCAAGAGCAAAAATGATGCAATAAGAGAGTATTTCCTTCATGTGAGGATGATTAACTAAACCTATCCATAACATTTTGCACACAAAAATTTCTAAATGACTGTTATGACTAGTAAGTAGAAGAGTTTGTCACTCTCCTTCTTTTCATCTGAAGTAACTTTTCTGTCTATGGAGATCATTATCAGTAGGTAGATTCCCACTAATTTGGACAGTTCAGATAAAAATGGCAACAAATAAAATTTGAGTACTTTCTGTATCCTGGGGCCTGTACCTGTTCTTGGCATGCCCTGATATTTAATTCTCAAATGTCATAACTTTTCCTTTAAAAGAAAAAACCCACAAATTTCCTCCTGCCTTATACTGAACACAAACATTGTCAGGTAATAATGCAGGGAAGTATTCAACCATGTAATGATAAGAGGTGGGCTTAATGAGAACTCTGTTAGAGATACTGTTGCCTACAACACATCTATAAAAACCCATTTTTCACTTTGCGATTCCTGTCAATTCCCAGGGCTGCAAGAGGATGCCTGGAGACCTTGATACAAATCCATGTTAAGTCTCAACTTTCATTCTCACGTGGAGACTGTGTGAGTTTCCTATGGCTGCTGTAACAGATGATCACAAACTTGGTGCTTTAAACAACAGAGACTCAAGATCTCGTAGTTCTGGAGGGTAGGAGGACAGCACCAGTTTTACTAGGCTAAAATCAAGAGTCTGCAGAGGTTCTGGGGGAGAATCCATTCTTTGCCTCCTCCGGTATCTGATGGCTCCAGCATTCCTTGGCTGTGACCCCATCACTCCAGTCTCTGCCTCTATGATTACATTGCCTCTTCCTCTTCTGTCTGTCATCTTCTGCCTCTGTCTGATAAGAATGCTTGTGATTACATTTAGGCCAATCTGAAGAGATTTAACTTAGTCATGTCTTCAAAGTCTTTGCCATAGAAAATAACACTCGCTGGTCCCAACGATTAGGGCATAGGCACCTTTTGTAGGGGGTGGGGAAGGGGTCATTATTGAGCCTAGCAGAGAAACTATTGATTGTATCAGGTTAACCCTAGTAACAGGTGCTTCATTTTAGCCTGTTCTGTTCTGTTCATTTATAGTTCTAACCACAACTGTGTTACCTAATTTCTTGGTTATTTGTTTAATATCTCCCATCACTAAACTAAGTTTGTAAAAACAGAAAACACATTTGTCTTCCTGTCTGTTGCGTTTCGCACCATACCTCCATCATCACCCTCACTCCAGTCCACCACATTGAGTATCTGGCACATAATAGATACTCAATGAAATTTTTGAATGATAAAAAATCTTCATTTAAAAGATGAGGTTCAAGTGACCTGCTCAAGTGCATACAACTAGTAAGTGGCAAAGTGTGTCCCTGAGTTCCAAACCTATGAGCTCTATTTGCCTCCCTTGGTCTGGTTCTAACATTTTGATTGTCAAATATTATAACTTTTCCTTTAAAAGAAAAAAAAAAACAAATTTCCTCCTGCCTTATATTGAACACAAACATTGTCACGTAATAATGCAGGACAATATTTAACCAAATAATGAGAGGTAGGCTTAATGAGAACTCTGTTAGAGATACTGTTTCATATAAAACATATAAAAAACCCATTTTTTCACTTTGTAATTCCTGTCACTTCCCAGGGCTGCAAGAGGATGCCTGAAGACCTTGATACAAATCCATGTTAAGCCTCAAATTTCATTCTCAGAAGCTGATCCTTTGATATTTATTTATTTATTTTGAGACAGAGTCATGCTCTGTCACCAGGCTGGAGTGCAATGGTGTGATCTCGGCTCACTGTAACCTCCGCCTCCTGGGTTCAAGCAATTCTTCTGCCTCCGTCTCCCAGGTAGCTGGGACTACAGGCGTGTACCACCACACCCAGCTAATTTTTATATTTTTAGTAGAGACGGGTTTCACCATGTTGGCCAGGATGGTCTTGATCTTCTGACCTCAAGATCTGCCTGCCTCAGCCTCCCAAAGTGCTGGGATTACAGGCATGAGCCACCGCGCCTAGCCTGATATTTATTTTTTGAAGCTGTAAAACCACACCATCCTTAAAACAGAGTTGTAATAATTTAAAAAAATCTTTCTCTAAAGTGTCACAGGGGCTGGGTGCAGTGGCTCACACCTGTAATCCCAGCACTTTGAGAAGCTGAGGCAGGCAGATCACCTGAGGTCAGGAGTTCGAGACCAGCCTGGCCAATATGGCGAAACCACATCTCTACTACAAGTACAAAAAAATTAGCCTGGCATGGTGGCAGGTGCCTGTAATCCCAGCTACTCGGGAGGCTAAGGAAGGAGAATCACTTGAACCTGGGAGGCAGAGGCTGCAGTGAGCCAAGATCATGTCACTGCACTCCAGCCTGGGCCACAGAGCGAGACTCCATCTCAAAAATAAATAAGTAAATTAATTAATTAATTAATTAAATTAAATGTCACAGGTATTGTAAGACTGCTCGTGAAATCAGCCTAGCTAAAGCAAAATGAAAACTGTTTGATGGAAACAAAAAGCACTAGCTCTTTCTGTCAAGGTTCAGATCAGCATCTAGATCAACATCTATTCTGGTTCTCCTCTCTGCAGGCCATCCCTTTCAGAGAGGAAACCTGGCTACTATCAGGTGTGTGTAATATTCATTTCTCATATGTACTGCTGTCTCCAAGCATGAAAGGCCAGCTGCAGGGGTGGATGTTACTGGGGAATAGAGAGAGCTTGTCTGATATTTTCAAAGCTTGATTATAGTGTTTTTCTCCTGAGGCAAAACCTTGAGACTTAAAGATGCTAATATAGCTTTTTTTTTTTTTTGCCCTCTCCCTTCCCTAGTGGAAGAATACCACTTTATGATATTTTGAAAATAAAGTCCTCAAATAAAATGTGTTCACATGCCTGGTTATATAAAATATGTTCACATCTAAACAACACTAATTTAAAAATGAAGTCCCCTGGAACCTGAATTTGAGAACTGCCTAGACAAAGAGAAGCCCTTGAGAAAAAGGCCCCAGCAAGAATTTGAAAGGGCTTCTAGAAAGCACAGAAAATCCTGCAGAGGGAAAGGAAGAAGAGGCATTAGGAGGAAGAAAAAAGTCTTAAATTATTATTTCCTTCATAAAATTGAAGACACTTTTAAATTTTTCAAAGCAGGGAAGGCAAGTTCTTGACAGAAATGAGCAAATGCATGATGATGGATTCCCAGAGGATGGGAAGTAGGACCCATTACATCTTTTTCATGATGAGATGATTCTCCTCAGCTGCTTTGATTCAGCAGCTGCTTTTCTGGTGCTAATCACTAGGAGATGGAGAGAAGTGGATGAACTCAAAGGATTATTTAGGAAATATTTCAACAAAACATAGTGGTGGGTTGAATGTGGTAACACAGACAAATCAGCAGTAACTTCTTGGCTCACGTCATGAGCGTTATGTGGGTAGCAGCACCATGTATTGAGATGGAAAAATTGGAGATGGTGGATTTTGGTTTGTGGAGAAATCAAACTTAGAAAATTTTAAGTATGAGGTGACTAGAAGACATTTGAATGTGTAAGTCTATAACTCAAAATAGATGTGTGAAGTAGAGATGAAAATTGGGAACCGTCAACATTCCGCTGGTATTTATGTGTGTGGGAAGAGATGAGGTTGCCCAGGTAAGGAGCATACGCAGAGAAGAAGGTCCAGTCCACAGCCCCAAGGAACCCGATGTTTAGAAGTGAAACAGAGGAAATGCAGTCAGAAAAGGGGCTGGGAATGTTTTCAGAGGAGAGAGTGTGCTTTCCAGAGAAAAACAAGGAGAGTGTGTCTAGATGATCTCACTTGGGTTTGAGCTCTAGCTCTACCACTTAGCACCTTTGTTGTATGCTTGGCAGAATTATTTAACTTCTCTAAACTCAAAATCACTTTTGAATTTGGAGAAGTATCACACACATACTCACAAACCTCAAAGTGAGCCACTCATAGCTTCCTGAAGCACCTATGAAAGAGAGAGCAAATTTCTCTTTTGCTTTGATTAAAATAACATTTCTTAAAGTTTAAGGAAACTGATGAGACATCTATCTATCTGTCTATCTATCTATCTACCTACCTACCTACCTATCTCCATAGATGTTATGTAATGCTCACAAGAATTTTACTCCTGTTTTCAAGTGTTTGCTTTCTAAGGGAATGATTGACACATTTGCACAATAGGCAGAACAGGATAATGCAGAGATTGATTTATCTGTTCATACCTAAGAGTGATTCTCCTTACCTGAGGCACTTGAGAAATGGGGCTCACCTAATCTCAAAGAATTTCAAAAATTTCTTTGGAAAGACCAACTTGTCGGCCAAGGGGATGTCTCAATTGATTTTCAGTCAATTCCTATTTGAGAGGAGAAAATACGATGACTTTCCCTGTTACAGGGAAAATTCATCTAATTCGTTTCATCTTACATTATTTAGAGGAAAATGCAATGATGAAATTGTTTTGATCTCTGGGTATGTTTCCCAAAGCTTTTAAAATACACATTATTTGGGAGAATAAATTCACTGTCAAGAAAGAAATTTTAAATGTCCAATCCTTTAGGGTTGGATGATTTCTAACCTTGACCATGTTTTAGAATCACCCTTTGTATTGCATTTAACAAAACCCTTAGAGTCTTTTTAAAAACCCACTATGTTGCCTCTCTACAGTGTATTAGTTATATACATACTGCTTTAATTTATCAATATGTGTTGACTTGGACAATAATATAAGCAGCCAACAGTGGGTGATTACACACATTAATTTGTGTACATAGAATCTTGATTCTCTCAATAGTTCTCATTATGCACCCAGGATGGTTTTTAAAAGTCACTAAAGAAAGATAGTTTATCCTCACAGAGTTAGCAACAATTTATTTTTTAATATTAATGAAATTCATGTAAGTATCCTTAATGGCACATAAATTACACGTGCATGTCTTGATGGTGTTATAACTTAGATTCAATGTTCTGCTGGGACTCTCTGTACCTCATACATAATCATTTATACATTTCCTTTAAGGTAATATAAAGTTGAGTTTTCATTTTGTTTCTGAAAATAAAAAATGATGTATTCCCACATTCAGTTTTATTTTCTTAAGAGGCAATAATTCCCCATGGAGAAAACAGTGTATATTTGGTTTGGAGCAATTCAACTGATTTCTGAATTCTAAGTTTAGGAGAAATGAACACTCTTCTTAGTCTATAGTCATTTGATTGGGTGAGAGTCACTGATCTTGTATTAAAAGAAATACATTTGCAGGCATAACTGGCTAAAATAAACTAACAAATCCAAATTATGAATAAATGAAAAAATTCTTTCGACAAGGTTGAATTAGCAACCAACGAAGTAGATCAGAATTAAGGATGCTTTTCTTTAAATTAAATGCTACTCTCTCACTTGTACCTTGATTATCCAGGAGACAGTAAAGGTGGACACAATACAGGAAGATTGGGAGAAAAATTACACAGACCAGCCAAGTTACGCACCAGACTCTGAACACTCCAGCAAGGACGAATTCACTCCCACTTTATTGTTGGAATGCCTTGAAAACAGAAAAGTTCTTTTTTTTTTTTTGAAATGGAGTCTTGCCCTGTCGCCCAGGCTGGAGTGCAGTGCCGCGATCTCGGTTCATTGCAAGCTCCGCCTCCCGGGTTCAAGCAATTCTCCTGCCTCAGCCTCCCGAGTAGCTGAGACTACAGGCAAGCGCCACTACGCCCGGCTTATATTTTGTTTTTTCAGTAGAGACGATATTTCACTGCCAGGATGGTCTCGATCTGCTGACCTCGTGATCCGCCTGCCTCGGTCTCCCAAAGTGCTGGGATTACAGGCATGAGCCACCGCGCCCGGCCGAAAGCTCTTCTTTATAGTGGAGCAAAATTACTTCCCAGGACCTTCTAGACATTAGTTCTAATTCTTTGAAATAATAGTACCTACTACATGTTTTAATACCTGTCTTTTAATCTTCTCAAGGTAGGCACAATTATCCTCCCTTTATAGATCATGAAATTAAAATTCAGACAGGTTAAACAATTTGTCCAGCCCCACATGGCTAGAAAGTGATATGACAATAAACCCAGTTCTGACTTCTAGGCTCTTACTTTTTCCTTCTGTCCCCTGCTGCCTTTTTAAATCAAAAAAGCCACATAGAGTATTAACCCTTCTTCAATATATTGACCCACCATACTGTTCAGCATTTTACCTTCTTTTCATGTCTGCTGTCATCCATGAAAAATATTCTGAATTTACTCAGCCTTCCTTTCAATGACTCAAATTTGAATCTTCTAATCATTCTAGTTTCTCTTTTCTGGACACATTCCAAGTACTCAATTTCTTTGTAAAGCATGGCACCACCACAGCCCCAAGAATGATATGCGAAGGCAAATCTGGGAGGAACAAATATGTACCTTGTTATGAGTATTATGCTTCTTTGAATACAGCCCACATGTAAATCAGTGTGTACGAGAGTCTCTATCTTGTCTACAAGCATATTATACAAGTTTGTCAATATGCCTTGCTGAAACTCAATCAAGAATCAAATCGTTTTACAATCTCCTGGATATCCATCCCACACTAAGCTTATGAGCTCTATCATTATTAAAGAACATGTAAGTGGTTTTCAAGGTACCCCTTCCTGGCAATCAGGTAAGACTTATTTTCTTACTTGTCTTATCCCAGAGCATGTGCTGTGTCATTATACACAAATCGTTTTCCCCTTGGGGACAGTCACTTTCTAATGTAAGGGACAGCATACATTGTGCTGCTGATTATATAGATGGGAAAGATCAAACAAAGTGAGATGTTAAGTGGCAAAGCATTTCAGTAGCTGAGTCAACAATTCAAAGACTTTTGAACAAAAGAATATTATGGTGAGTTCTTTAACTTAGAAAAATGACTGATAGAAACAGAATTTATTGCTCTTAAGACATGATTTTTTTAGCTTGATCTGGAAGCCACAATCATACAAACATCAAAAGAATACTCCATACTCAAACAAGAGACACAGAAACAATTCTATTAAACAAGTCATTTGTTCACCCAGCAAACATTTTTGGAGAGAAAATAATTATTTTACTTATCCACAGAGGCTTAAGGAAAAGAGTAAGATTCTAGAGTGACATCTCATAAGTCAGAGCCAATTATTTTCAAACACTACCAATTCCAATGAGCTACAGTGAAGGTAATCTTGAATAAAGTTCAAGATTTCACTGTGTATGTTTGCAAATGATAGACATGACATACATAAGTCTTATGGGAGTTCAGATTCTAATAAGCTGGCACCCCAACCTGACAGCAACTCCTCTGAAGTCAATCTGTCTACGTAATGGACTTGGATGCCAGTTCCAAAATTCACACAGAAAATTCATCTGAGGAAGTTGTTCCCTGGAGACATCTTCTGTATTTACACTGGGTAAGACAATGTGTTTTAAAATCCATAGGAAAATCACAAGGGGAACAAAGACCACTCCCTTAAAAAAAATAAAAAGGAGTAAAAACAATCTAAGAATTAGATACCCTGTAGTCAATCATGCAAATGACTTTTTCTGAGTTAACGTGCTGCCTGTCAGCATCACCTCTCCCAACTACATTGTCTGAAAACTCAATCTGGCTGTTCTGTTCTAAATGAACAGGAAACTCTTCAACAGTATCCTCTATAGGATGTCTTGATAACATCAGTAAGCAGAGCTTTGGGCACACGCCTCTTGGTCACATACACACCCCAGATGAGAAGACTGAAATTCTTCTAGGTTCTCATAAGTAACAAAATGATAGCCTTCTTGGCCTCTGAATGCATGCGTGCGGGGGAGAAACTAGACTGTTATCACTGCAGTCAGAAGGAACAAAGTCATGAGAGACGTTAACAATTTGCAAAGTAGGGTGTGTCCACCATCCCACCCTTTCTGCCTGGCATCTGTTTCACCAGTCTCTCCCCTAGTGCAGGAGGGACCTGAAAGATACTTGAGAGACAATTCTTATTATTTATTTATCTAACAATGTCACAAAATAGTAAGTAGATATATTAACCACTACTAATTTTTAGAGAAATGCTTAAGCATTGAGGATCCCAGAAAGAAAAGTAGAAAAGCAAAATCCTGCAAATTACCCACAAATCACCACTAATTTTGAATACTACAAGCCTGTCTATTTTATTCCATTAAAGATGTGGCCAGGCGCGGTGGCTCACGCCTGTAATCCCAGCACTTTGGGAGGCCGAGGAGGGCGGATCACCTGGGGTCAGGAGTTCGAGTCCAGCTTGGCCAACATGGCAAAACCCCATCTCTACTAAAAATACAAAAAAAAAAAATTAGCTGGACATTGTGATGTGCACCTGTAATCCCAGCTACTTGGGAGGCTGAGACAGGAGAATCGCTTGAACCTGGGAGGCGGAGCTTGTAGTGAGCCAGGATCGCGCCACTGCACTCCAGCCTGGGTGACAGAGCAAGACTCTGTCTCAAAAAAAAAAAAGAAAGAAAATTAAAGCTCCGTGTGCTCTTATGCCTAAACTGAAGCATAAATAGAGAAGTATCATGGAAGTCAAACCTAAAGCCTGGCAGGTCCTTTGCTGGTAGGCATGTTTATATTTTGGTTCTGAGCAGTATTATCGTTTATACATAATAATAAATACACTAAAACATAAATTTTGATGAAAGATAATTAGCTAATGTTTAGGGCTATAAAATGACACCAAAATAAAAAATTCAAAGGGGTATTTATAGTGTCCTTCTGTTAGTTTCTTAGGGCTGCCCTAATAAACTACCACAGGCTGGGTCACTTAGAACACCAGAAGTCTACTTTCTCATAGTTCTAGAGGATAAAAGTCTGAAATCAAGGTGTTGGTAAAGACATCTGTTCTCTGGCAGCTCTAGGGAAGGAATCCTTCCTTTTCTCCTCTAGTTTCTGCTGCTGCCAGCAATCCTTGGTGCTACTTGGCTTATAGATGCATCACTCCGATCTCTTCTTCTAATTCTCATGGCCTTCCCCGTATGTCTGTGTCCAAATTCTCCTCCTCCTATAACAATACCAGTCACTGAATCAGAGCCAACATAATCCAAGGTGATCTCACTGTATTTCTGATTACATCTGCAAAGACTATTTCTGTAGGAGGTCACATTTACACGTTCTAGAGTTTAGGACTTCACAGTATCTTTTTGGGACACATGATTCAATCCATAACAGAACTCACTTAAACCACTGACTCACTCAACAAACTACAGCTAGCCATACTGATATGACTCTTGGGTGCTGAAGGGTGATAGAAACAGGGAAGAAGGCACATGGCTCACAGAGAACAGCCATGTCATAATGCGTATTTTTGTATCAGGACCATGGACAGTAGCTCATGTTCCTTCCACCACCTCCCCCATTTCACCCCAATATTGGTGATGCTTATGCTTATGGAGAGAAAGCCTCTACACTAAACTAGGCTTATTAAAAACTATTACTTGGTTGGTCTACTTTTTCTAAACATGTACTCTATAAATCAATTTATCTTACTCACTGTCACTTCGCCTGGTATGGTGAAAAAAGATTATGATAGTGGAAAACAGTTTACTGGCCTATAAAGGTTGCTGTTACCTTTCTTTAATCTAGGGTTCTATCTTCATTGCAAAGTCCTAAAACCTAAATACTTGGCTTAATAAATAATGATCCAGTGAAAGAAATGGCTTTTACCATTTAAACTCATCCAGAACTTATTTGTTCCTGAAAATAAATGAAATTGCTATAAGATACTTAAGCTATAAAAGTTATGTTGCATTTCTAAGATGAAGCATGTTAAAGCAATGTGTAAAGAAACATTAATGGGCTGGTATCAATATGTCATAAAGCCAGAATGGGAGGTTGGAAATGGAAAATGGGAAGGAAATGGATGGAGTGGCCATATCTAAGGGCTCAGGTAATGGACAGCTGTCTGTGTCCTTCTATGGAGCTTGAGCTTTTATCGCAGAAAATGGGGAACTATTGAGGAGTTTTAGGCATAGGAGTGATGTGGTTAAATTTGCATTTTATTTAGATGCTCTGTTGATTGTGTAAAGGATAATTTAGAGGTTGGTAAGACTAGAGGCAAAGCAAAGCTGTTAACTAGGGTGATGATACTGAAAACAGGAGAATGGAATGGACTTCAGAAATACCTAGGGGATGGAATCAGTAGGTCCATCCTAGTTACTGATTGCATAGAAGAGGTTTACATTTTGCCTTGGGTGATTAAGAAGAGAAATCTTCTTCAGGAGGTTGTGAATAATGAGTTTGTTTGCTGATACGTTAAATTTGAATTGCCTTTGGGAGTTCAAAATCTGTACTCTTAAAGTTACAATTATCTCAGAGGAATAAGCTCTGGTGTTCTATTGCATAGCAGGGCGACTATGGCTAACAGTCAGGTATTGTGTTTCACAAAATAGTTAGAAGAGAGGCATTTGGATGTTCTTACCACATAGAAATAATAAATACATGAAGTGATGAATACGCTACCCTGAGTTGATTATTTTACAACCTATATATGTATCAAAACATCACATTGTACCCCTATCAATATATACAATTAGAATGTGCCAATTAAAAAATTAAAAATCTGTACTATAGGTTCTATTAGAAAAGCATTGGCCCTGTTTCCTAAATCCCCGATATCAGCTTAAATCAATTCAAGCTATTCTTTCACTCTTGGGTTGTAACCTCTGTGAAAGTTGAGATCTGGTATCCCTTAGAGCCTGAGAAAATACTTGTTAACCATTTCTGTTACCAACCTCAAATTCTTAGGTCCGTTAGGTGGAGGGATTGAACAACTTATTTTCTAACACCTGGTAGCTTCTTATTGTCTTCAAGCCAAGAGGATCTTGTAGGTGTGCTTCCATCTAGGATAAGGACTTTCTTCTCAGGACTTTAGACAAAGAGAATGACTGGGGATGCTGGGTTTCTGTGGTTACTAAATTGCTGACAGCATTTAAAGGCATGTTTTTCTTGACACAATCTATATGCATGCAATGACTTGTCAGATCATCTGGTTGTTTCTGAATATCAGAGATTAGCATGCCTCTGACAGAGGGCAGGGTCTGGTGCCTTGCTGAGGAGGACTTAACAGCTTAAGATGGCAACCTACCCATTATCAGATTTAGATATGACAATCATGTGTTTTCCTGAAAGTCCCTACCCAAGGACCAGATATCTAAGACTCAATTCAGAGAGTCAAGGTTGCCATAACAAGACAGCTGGCTGTGTAGGTGGAGACCAGGCTTCCTGGTATTCCACATTCTCCACAAACTGGTGAAGGGTAATTGGAAGTGATAAGTGAATGGAGGCGATGTCTTTTTTAGATTTTCCCCAATTCTATAAAGTGAGAACAAAGGAATTAGAAATGAGTTTTCATAAAATTTTAGTATTAGAAGGCATCATGGAAACCATCTGGTTTTATAGCTTTCTTTTAAAGGCATGGAAAAGGACCCAGAAAAAACAAAATTAACAGTAGTTGCAATGTTCCAGTGAGAATCCAATTCCTTTGAGTTACAGAGCAGAGCTTTTTCAGCTGTATGTTACTTCCTACATCTTCTATTTCTTGGATTTGGATACAGGATGATATAGCCAGAAGTACCTCATTTGATTATTTTAACAAGTAATTATGCTCTGCCTTAAAAAATTTATTTGCAATAAGTTCTTAGTTTAGGGAAATCTTAGATATTGACTCAGCTTATTTATAAAAATCAGTTTTCCAGATAATTGAGGGTATAACTCGGTAAAAATTAAAAATTTTTCCTGTTTGATAATTTGATATGCAAATCTAAATTTTATTTAATTGTAATACATATTTTCATGCCTTCTTGGATCTAAGAGCTTATTCTGTGGAGAATGCTTATGTTTATGAAGTACCCATAGGTGACTTCTTTACCTCTGGTATTTGCACAGATATTTTTATTCTCAAGATACGAATGAGAAAACAAACAGAGAGTTTAAGTGACATCCAAGTGACAATGTTGGGGCTTAAGCTCCCATCTGTCATTCTATGGGAACTTGCTACTTCTATATGATGAACAGTTTACCTTTACTTGATGTCTTAGTTTTAATTCTGCAGTTATACCAACATGACCTTAGGACCTGCTGAGAGATGCAAAGATATTTAACACCGGTTTTTGTGCTTTTCAATATACTCATATAAGCTTTTAAATTAAATTTGCTATCTCTTTTTTTTTTCTTTGGGCAATTGCTTATTGCTGTTACTAGCATACTTGACTAATGCCCTTTCTTCAGTCACTGCTTCTGTTTTCTTCTTCAAAGCTGCTGTATTCAGGCCTGAACTGTATCCTTCCTCCTAAACTTATATGTGGAAGTTTTACCCCCAGTTCCTTAGCATATAACCATATTTGGAAATAAGGTCATTAAAGGGGTAATTAAATTAAAATGAGATCTTGAGAGTGGGCCCTAATGCAACATGACTAGTGTCCTTAATAAGAAGAGGAAATATAGATGCAGACATGTACATGCATAGAATAAATACCATATGAATACACAGGAAGAAGGCTGTCAAGGAAAATGGCCTCAGAGTGAAACCAACCCTGCAGACACCCTGATCTTGGGCCTCCAGCCTCCACAACTGGGAAGAAATTAATTTATATTGTTTAATTCACCCAGTCTATAGTATTTGTTAGAACAGCCTGGAGAAAACTAATACAAATAACAGATGAAGATAGCTAGTTTTTGGAAATGTGTGTGAACTAATAATGAACAGGTCTTGAAATGGGCTGGCCTCGAAGTCAAGTTCCTGGGCTTTAGTGCACAAACATTGTGATATTGCTTTTAGCCTGTGGCAATACCTTTTGCTTATTTTGTGTCTCTGGGTTATTTTCCGAATAAGAGGAGTTACAGAATAGGTGAGTTTCAGATAGCTAAAGTTATAGTTCTACAAACATTGAATCACAAAATATAAACCAAGTGGTCCTTTAAATAAAGAAGGAGTTTTTTACTTCACAAGAGTGTTTTTCTGACATGCTTTCTGGTTGCATTTAAAATGTAATTTAATTTCCTAAACCTTAATCTATCCATACTCTTTCAAGAACTTAACAGATGTAAATATCATAGCATATGCATCTATTTCATCTTTTATTTTCCTCTCCTAGGCTATATTGGTAGTTGCAAGTGTCATATTCCTATTATTCATAATGCCTGAGCTTCCAAACAAATGTTGAAATGGAATCTGTGGAAGTTCAGAATTGTTGACTAAAGTTCACCTGCAAATGAATTAGCTCTCCCTTTCCTCTTTGGGGCTGCTTCAGTGTTTTGGGTGGAAATTACAGACCTCTAAGCAGCAAGGGAAGAACAAATGCATTAAGTGTATTTCTGTGGTAGTGACACAGACCATTCAATAGAACCTAGCAAGCAGGAAAGACTGTATGGATTTCAAAAATAGCACCCATCTGTCTGAGAGCTGCTAAAAAATGAGTTTTCACCCTTGGAACCAAATAAGACTTAGGTTCTGGAAAAGCCATAGAGAAGTTCCTCAGAGAATTACAAAAACATGTACCTTTTTGCATTCCAAGAATAATAACCAGGCACAGGAGGACACACAGTGCCAAGTTTCAAATTCAAATCAAGCAGCACATGTTAAGAGTTGAAAGTTGAACTTTGGCCCTTCCCCAGCTGAATGCTGGTAAAACATAATACCTGGGTTCAAAGGTCAGCGCTTACAAAGGCATCTTGACAAGCCACCTTGGGCACCTTAGAATGCAACATAGAAACATCTATTCAAGGCATATATAACTTAGGGATAAATGAATAAAGAGTATAGTTTATGTGTTGTGTGTGTATGAATATATATACATAAAGATACATTTATAGAATTTAAAATCAAGGGGCAAACTTTAAGAAAACATTGGCTGGGTTTAACTAAGTCAAAGGCATTATTTTGCAGCAGGGAAGGGAATAGGTAACCCTAGGATGTTTTGTCAGAAATGAAATGCCATCATATTCATATTTCTGGCAACTAAAAAAAGGAAAATATCACATTTTTATGTCTGTTTTGAAAAGAACACGTGGTGAAATAGTATTCAGGATGTGGTTGTGGTTCCAAGTCATTTGCAAATCCAAACTTCCTTCAGTTTTGTTATCTCTCACCTTCATTTACAGAAATAGGAAGCACCATATCTATTTTATGAAGTGTTAAATTCACTGGTGATAAAATATCAGAATTTGCATGTTATGCCTAATGATTCAGTTTTTGATGTGGCAAACATCCAGATAAAAATTATCTGGTCATTTCATCGTGCTATGGAAAAGCAGAATGAACCGTCATTTTCTAATGAAATAACATGTGGGCACCCTTAAAGTCACCCTAGCAGACACCCTTAAAGGCAAACACACACACACAAATTCTCATGTCACCTACATAGTAATAACCTATATAAGAAGTTATAGCAAAGCACCAGGGAAACAGAACATCATCAAATGCAGTTCTTGCATTTAAAAACATCAGAGTCAACTATTAACATTCCTACAGAGACATTCATAATAGAAAAAGGATTATAATAAGGCAAGTGGTGAAAGTGTAAACAGCATTCATGCACTACGGGCTGAGTATCTAAACTCTCCCATCACTGGAAGTTTAGTCCATTGAGAATTTGCATGGCTTGGTAAAAGCCTGAAAACCTCCACTGATCTTATTTATCAGCGGAGCGAAATAGAGACTATAATCTGTTTTGTTCACCATAATATCTCCAGTATCTGGCACATCTGCTGGTACATAAGAGATCCACAATAAACATCACTGAATAAATGGAAATGCATCTTGGGACACAAAACACAGAGTTCAGTTATCAATACAGAGAAACCCAAATGTGATGTAAAATGGAATGGCCCATGAGATCCTGTCTCCATTGGGAGACAATTCTTCATTATCTCCCATATTTTGTTTCAGACCAAGCCCACCCAAAGAGATAGAATGTGGGCATCTACTGAGATCATAATAACTGAAAAATAATCATAGTAACTGAAAAAAAAAACATGAACCACCAATCTAAGAATCTCAGAGAACTGCAAAAAGAATAAATACAAAGCATCACACACATATACATGTATCTAAGCATACTATATTCAAACTTCTGAAACCAAAATTAAAAGCAAATCTGAAGGCAGTCAGAGAAAATGGACATACTACAAACAAAGAAACAAAGGTCAGAATCACCAGAGACTTCTTGTCAGAAAATATGTAAGCCAGGAAACAGTGGAATGACATCATTAAAAGGTTAAGAGTTTTTAAAAAAGGCCATCAATCTAGATTTCTTTAATCTGTAAAAATATATTTCAAACATGAAGGTAAAATAAATATTTGTGGGTAAGCAAAACTAAGAGAATTTATTTCCAGGAAACCTTGACTATAAGAAATATGAAAGGCAGTTATTGTGGCGGAATGAATATGATAGCAGACAGAAATTTAGATCTAAAAAATAAAAATTTCTAGGAATGATTAAATGGAGACTAATATAAAAGACATTAAACATTTTAATCACTGTAAAAGATGTTACTGTCTAGCTCAAAAATACTAGCAATGTACTTACGGGTTTACCCCGTAAGAAATACAAATATATGGCAACAATAGCACGAAGATGAGAAGTAGAATTCAAAATATATTGCTATAGAGAGTTCACATCTTACTTGAAGCTGAACAACCTTGATGGTAAATTTTAATTGATTAAATATGTATATTGTAAACCCTCAGGCAACTATTACTTATAATTTTTAAAAGATGTATAAATTATAAACCAATAGTGAAGATTAAAGTGAATTATAAAAATACTTAACCTAAAAGCAGGCTGTAAACCAGGAGAAAGGATAAAAAGAACAGATGAGATCACCGGAAAACAAATATCAAAGTAGGTGATTTAAACCCAATTATATCTGTAATTACATTAAATATAAATGGTTCAAACATAGCAATTAAAAGATACAGGTTGTCAGATTAGGTTTAAAAAAGTGAAACCTGACAAGAAACTAACTTTAAATATAAAGACAAATGGGTTAACAGTAAAAGATGGGAAAATATATACCATAATAATTCTAATCAAAAGAAATCTGGAGTGGCTGTACTAATATCAGACAAAGTAGATTTCTGAGTAAAGAATATTACAAGTAATATAGAAGGTCATTTCTTAATGATAAAAGGGTCAACTAATAACAAAGACCTAACACTCCTATTAGCAGAGCTTTAAAATATTTGAAGAAGACCTGATAGAACTACAAGGAGAAAAAGCCAAATACACAATTACAGTTGAAGACTCAATAGTTTACTCTGAGTAACTGATAAAAAAAAGTAGGAAGATAATATTCAGTAAGAATATAAAAGCCCTAAACATCACTATCAACCAAATTGACCTAGTTGATATCTGTAGAACATTTCACTCAGCAGCAGCAGAGTACACACTCCTTTCAAGTCATAAAATATAGACCACAGATCATATTCTGGGCCATTTAAGGAATGACCAAAACACATTCAAAGAAATTGAAAGCATACAATGTATGTTCTCTGATCACAATGGAATTAAACTAGAAATTAATAACAGGAAAATACCTGGAAAATCTCCAATTATTCAGAAGTTAAACAGCACTAAGTAGTTCATGGGTTAGTGTAGAATTCACAGAGGAAATGGAAAATATTTTGAATGAAATGAGAATAGTAACACAAGATATCAAATTGTGGAAAACGCAGGTAAAGCAATGCTTCAGGGAAATTTGTAGCATACATACATAAATGTTAGAAAAGAAGAAACATCTTTTCTTTCTTTTTTTCTCTTTTTTAACTTTTATCTTAAGCTCAGGGGTTCATGTGCAAATTTGTTACAAAGGTAAACTTGCATCATGGGGTTTATTGTACAGATTATCACCCAGGTAATTAAGCCTAGTACCCATTAGTTATTTTTCCTGATCCTCTCCCTCCTCCCAATGTCTGCTCTCTGATAGGTTCCTTTGTGTGTTGTTCCTCTCTATGTGTCCATGTGTTCTCATCATTTAGCCCCCACTTATAAGTGAGAAAATGTGGTATTAGGTTTTCTGTTTCTGCATTAGTTTGCTGAGGATAATGGCCTCCTGCTCCATCCATGTCCCTTCAAGGGACATCATCTTGTTCTTTTTTATGGCTGCATAGTATTCCATGGTATATATGTATCACATTTTCTTTATCCAGTCTATCACTAATAGGCATTTAGATTGGTTCCATGTCTTTTCTATTTTGAATAGTGCTGTAATAAACATATATATGCATGTGTCTTTATGATATAATGATTTATATTTCTTTGGGTATTTACCCAGTAATGGGATTGCTGGATTGAATGGTATTTCTGTCTTTAGGTCTCTGAGGAATCACCACACTGTAAACATCTTGAATCGAGGACCTAAGGTTCCACCAAAGAGGCTAAAATCAAGAGATTATACATTTCTGCTCCCTGTACTCCTGTCTAGCCAATACCCCTTTGCCCCTCCCAACTCCACATACAAGTAATTAATACAAAGCCAGAGCATTTTAAAATCAGTTTCCAAAAATTTATACATTCATTCCACCATAAGGCTAAGTTCTCCATTGTTATTAGGTTTTACTGAAATACTTTCTTCAAAGTAAACAAAGTAAGAAAAAAAATGCTTGAAATCACATGGATTCATTTGTCCTCAATGAGTCAAAGACTCAGCCACCAAAACATTTCTTATTTCAAGAAACATTCTCATTAGGCAGTTATCATAATTGGCCTAAGAATCTCATGCAGTTGAATCTAAGGCAATATAATATGTAGCCTAAGAATTGTGTTTGGTAGAGTGTTCTATAAATGTAGCTGTTACTAGTATTCATATAAGCACCATTTTTTTTCCTTTTTTAGTTTTAAGGTCTTTTTTTAAAAACTCGTATTTTAGGTTCAGGGGTATGTGTGAAGGTTTGTTATAAAGGTAAACTCATGTCATGGAGGTTTGTTGTACAGATTATTTCATCACCCAGGAATTAAGTCCAGTACCCAATAGTTATCTTTTCTGTTCCTCCCGCTTCCACTGACAGTAGTGGAAGAGAAAGGTAAATATAAATGCAAGGTTTATGTTTTTAATTTAATGTGCTGTGGAAAAAAAGAACCTTTACCATGCTGACTTGTTAAGTGAATGACATGAACTCTTGGGCATCTCTGCTCTTCTGTATAAGAAGTGTCATGCAACTCTGGATGGGACTGCTGGGCCTCTTGAAGCCATATTGCAAGTTCACCACCCAAGCCATTCCCAGCACTGTGCTCCTCTGAGTAAGTCTGGTGTACAATGTGGAGCATGTGAAGCCTGATTGTTCTAGGCACAAATTATAACTGCCTCCTCTTCAGTGGGAGAATTTAGAGTGGGCTTACAAGAAAAATAGGATCCAGCAAGAGTAAGTCTCTCTATGAATAATAGATAAAAGATTTTTTCAATAATCCCCAGAAACTGCCTGCTCTTTCCTCATCTGGCAACTTTGATTTGGGTTTATATGGATTTTATTAGTTTAAAATGTTATGCATACATAGAGCCCTAACTTGCCTTGTTATTTACTTCAAGTGCAGACCACATAGGTTTTGATGTATTATAAGTAATCCTATTATAATGTTTAGGTGGCCTGAGCTAACTTGAGCTTTCTGTCCAAACACATTACAGAAACAGCAATGCTTCCTTCCTCAGCAAATGCTTAAATGCTGATAGTGATGCCCGGGGCCAGACTCTTTGCTTGGGTGGTGAACTTGCAATATGGCTTCAAGAGGCCCAGCAGTCCCATCCAGAGTTGCATGACACTTCTTATACAGAAGAGCAGAGATGCCCAAGAGTTCATGTCATTCACTTAACAAGTCAGCATGGTAAAGGTTCTTTTTTTCCATAGCACATTAAATTAAAAACATAAACCTGGGGATTGCTGTTTGCAAAGTTCTGGTCTATATGCTGAGGGAATGTAAAGGCATAGTTTCTGTGCTCACAAAGCACACTAGTTTAGTTAAATAAACTAAACATGCAAACATAAAAAATTTAACTGACAATGCAGGGCAGTTCATAATAAACCCCAAACTAACAGTCTAGACAACGCATGTTGTAGATATTATAAGAAAAAAAAAAGAGAGAGAGAGAACTCTGAGTTGAAAAAGGCATCTCTCAAATGTCAAAATCAGAGTTGGACTTTTAAGATGGGAAGGCAGGGTTGAGAGGAATGTCCTGAAGCAAGGAGCATTTTCTCTAAGGAAAGGTATGGGAATGAGCTAGCCTAATTTATGTCAACTCTTCACATGCATTTCATAAACTTGCATGCCTTTCAGGTGCTTTGCATGCACCCCAGGTGTTTGCATACTTTCCAGGTACCTTTGCATACATTCCATTTGTTTGCCCACGTGTCAAACTCATTGTTTACATTCCATTCATAATATTTTACCTAATTAATGTATTTTATTTATATTCAGACTCATTACAAAGAAGGATTAGAAGCAGCTAACGTATATCATTTTATTTCGTACTCATCACAACACTGTATAGAACTATTATTCTCAAGTTTTTACAGATGAAGAAATTGAGGCTTGAAGAGATTTTCAAGTCACTTGCTCCAGGTCCCACAGAGCTGGAATTGGAATCCAGGTCTATCTGAGGCTAAACTGGATCTTCTGTGACAGTTAAGATATGCTTCCTTTTTTTTGTTTCTTTTTATTTTTATGGTTCTTTCCATCACACTGTGCTTGGAATAGAAACTAAAGCACAAATGACATTTGGGAGTGGTGAGAAATGAGTGACCATCCAGGATGGCACCAAGTTACAGATGCCCCTAAAGCCAGGTAGAGCAGTTTTCCTGTAAACGAAAGGAAATGGCACCCATTATTGACCTTCAGCAAGAAGATAACGTGATGCGAGTATTTTTAGGCAGATTGTGGAGATGGAGTCGGAGGCTGTAAAGAATAGTTGGATGGCGGAGAGAACCAATAGCAGGCTATGCAAAGACTAATAATAAAAATACCCGGTGCTGATAACAGTGCTTACAATGTGGCAGGGCTATCTCAAGTGTTTTACGTATATTAATTCATTTAATCCTCCAGCAACTCCATGAGATAGATATCATTACTCTATCCATTTGACAGATGAGAAAACCGAGACTGTGACAGATTATATAGCATGTTCACTATCGCATAGTAAAGAGTTATCTCATAGAACCCAGTTCAGAACCTGAGTTCTCAACTTCAATGCCATACTAACCAGGCATGGAGTATTAAAGTCCTGGGTCAAAGTAACAGCAGTGGACAGAGAAAGGTGAATATGGATGCAAGAAGCATTACAAAAGAAGAAGCTATGGATTTGAGTGGCCTATTGAATAAGCAATTGAGGGAAAGGAAGAATCAAAGGTAAGGCTTTGTTTCACAAAATGATTTCTCCTAGATGAAAACAGGCAAGGAATTTGAACTTTATTCTAAGCATAAGAGGAAACCACTGGAATATACTGAGTAGATGAATTACATGATTAAATTTAGATTTTAAAGGGGCCACTCTGGGGCCTGAGTATAAAATAGACTCAAGGAAGGCAAGGGCAGAGCAGAATAGTTGGGAGGTTTTTCTGATAGTGTCAAGGCAGACAACAGACAGCTGTTGACAGTGGTAGGAGTTTAGGCTGTGAGAGGTGGTCAGGTCTGGACACATACTGAAGGTGAGACTGTCAGGACCTGTGGATGGATGGGATGGGGAGTGTGAGAGAAAGAGCATCGAGAATAAATCCTAGGTTAGCAGTCTGAGCAAGTGAGCGAAGCAGCTGCTATTTCCTGAGATGGGAATTCAGTGGGTAGATCCGGTAAAGACTAAGTATCAGCCACCAGGTGTGACAATGACAAAGACAATGGGGACTTGGCAAGTATAATTACATTGGGACACGGGGAGGAATGTCTGACCGGAGCAGAATAAAAAGAGTTCAGGCATCACTACTTCCAGAAACTTTGCCTGAAGCCAAAGCTCCCATTTCTTTCTCCAACACACACATGTGCACACACATTTCACATATTCAGACACACATATTTACCATACCATAGCCACACACTTTATGCACACACACACACAGGCACACAGAAGGGTGTGCATGCACTTCATAGATTCAGGCACACATATATGCCACACCATATTCATACACTTTATGCACACACACACACACACACACACAAAAGAATGCGCACATACCCCACAGATCCATGCACACATATATTATATACCATATCATACCCACCCTCTTCATGCACACACAACCCCAAAGTGTGTGTATACACCTCACATATCCTACACACATATATCCCATACCATACCCACACACTTCTTGCACACATGCACAAACACACATTGTACACACACACACTCACACTTCACTCAGTACATATTAGGTGTCCCTCCACTGTGCTACCAGAGTTCCTAGTACATTTCTGCCCTTATTCACTATTGACTGCGGTTTGCACAACTCCAGGAAGACTGCAGCTCCCGAAAGCACCACTCACATAAACTGGAGTGTGACTGGTGCCATTGGAGTCAAGCTGCACACAAGTGGTTACCACATGACTATCTGTAGCTTCAGGACAGAGACTGTGTCTCCTTATATGCTCCTCCTATGGCCAATGTGGGAACCTAGTAGATAACCTGTACATAGCTGTTAAAAGAAGAAATTATGGCCTGGTGCGGTGGCTCATGCCTCTAATCCCAGCACTTTGGGAGGCCAAGGCGGGACTATCACTTGAGGTCAGGAGTTCCAGACCAGCCTGACCAACATGGTGAAACTCTGTCTCTACTAAAAATACAAAAAAGAAATTAGCCAGGCACAGTGGCAGGCACCTGTAATCCCAGCTAATTGGGAGGCTGAGGCAGGAGAATCGCTTGAACCTGGAAGGCAGAGTTTTCAGTGAGCCAAGATAGAGCCATTGCACTCCATCCTGGGTGACAGTGCGAGACTCTGTCTCAAGAAAAAAATTAATTAATTAATTAGTTACATTTAATAAGAAATTATGAGGAAAATTTGCCATAGTCCATCTTTCTCCCTCCACCCTGCCACCATTCCTGAAATGTAGATTCAAGAGTACGAACAATAACATCATAAAATGTGACAAACAAAAATACTTCCAACGCCATTTTTTCACGTACTGCTATGTTATAAGCACCTATTGCACGTTTTCACATAATGTTCTAAATTGACTACGAGTTGGAGTGGTGCTTGAGGATCAGTCATCTCAGAAATTCTGTTATGAATTCAAATCCAAATCTAACCAGATAAGACAAATACTACAGTGAAACATCCACCAGGGTTCAACGTGGATGCATTCAAACTTATTCACTGTAAAGCGAGTAATACTACACCAATTAACACTTTTGAATAATAAAAATGTAGGGTGAAGGGAGTGCATTTTTGTTACAGGAATTCCTCAGATGCCACAGACGAGGTACAGAAAAAATGATAAGGATGCACTCTACAAAGACTGGGTTGTGTGCACTCATAACAAATGCAACTATGTGATACGCAGCTCTTCTCAAACTTCTACATGCATACACATCCCCAGGGCTCTTGTTGAAATTCACATTTCCCTCTGTAGGTCTGGAGTGGGGCCTGAGATTCTGCATTTCTAACAAACTCCAAGGTAATATTGATGCTGCTGGTCCAGAGACCACAGTTGCAGTAGCCAGAGTTCATAGGATAGATTCTAAGTAAAGTTACTTCTCTGCTCTATATCTAAATTGAATTGACAAGTTTCATTACATGTAGAATCCATTTCTAGCTAACCAATGCTGATTTTGTGCATGTGGCATTACTTTACAGTCATCAACTTGGGTGAATGTGTGTTTTTGTGTGCAAGTGGAAGATTTAATTGAGTTAGCTCAAATGAGGCAAAGAGGTTTACTCTAAGTAAGCATGTTTGATAGAAAACAAAAAAAATAGCGAGCTGCAGTTCTTTCAGAATCTGTGGCACTGCCTTTGTAAAAGTGGTTTCTGGCCAGGACCACTCTAATCACATTTCATGCCTAATACTATAAGCATTTTTTCCTTTCTTAAGTTTATTTGGCAATGTAGACAGCCTCTCTAGTGAGATTTCCAGAGCTCCTTGGCTTCAGACAGCCAAAATCCTCTCTGATGTTGTGGTTATGTACCCAACTGAATTAAAACAGAATTTTATAAGGGGTGAGTAGAGACAGACTAAGGCAGAAACATGAAGCAAAGAAAGAGCTTGGGCTCATCAAAAGAGTGGGAACTGATCATTTGTCACGGCAGGATTGCTGCACCCAGCGGCTGCAGTGGCTGAGAAAGAAGTGAAAGGAAATGATCGTATGCAACGGTGATATTAATAATATCTACCTCACTGGGTTGCTCTGAGAATCAAACTTGGTGAAATTTTTGAAAATGTATTGAACACTTTAAAGGACTAGACAGATGTTTAGAGTTATTCTAAGGGCTTTGACATACTCTGGATGCTTCAACAGAGAGCAAGTCATAAAGCATGATCGTAAGACATATCTCAGTTTGGAAGACCTGGGATAACGCTACTCTGTCACTTAACCCTTTTTGAGCCCAAGGTTTCTCATATGTAGCATGAGAATATGAAATCAATAATGTGAAATATACACTTGATGTCATTTCTGTGTGCAGTCCTTAAAACAAACTCAGGAAGAGTCACCCCATGGCAGTCTGTTTGGTGGCAAGAAAGAGTCCCAGACTAATACGCACCTAACTAAATAGAGAGTGGGTGGCGTTTTTCTCACATGCCAGGAAATCGGGAGGGGAGGGTCAGTCACTGCTGGAGTCAACTCGGTTGCTCAGTAGTGTCTTCCCAGATGCGTTTGGCCGTCTTTAGCACATGGATTTTGTCCCCTGCTTGTCATCTCATGGTCACAACATGGTTGTCATGTTTTCGATATCACAGTTGCATTCAAGGAAGAGAGAAGGAAAAAATGGTTAAAACGTGTGTCTCCTTTTATCAGGAAAGTAAACATTTTCCGGAATTCTCCACCCCTTCATAGGATATAAGCAGACACCTACTTATATCCTATATCTCACTGGGTACCTACATCACTATTTACATCTATTTGCTACATGACATGGTCACCTCTAGCTGCAAGCCTGGCCTGTCTCTATTATAGAGTCTGTCAAAGCTAACTATGCTTTTCCCAGCCAGGCTTGGCACTAACTATGAGAAAAAAGGAGTGAGAGCAAGCGATAAATCAACACTGTCTGCTGCTGATGGGCAGCAATTATTCGCATTTTACTTTGAATGAAGGCCCCATGACATCGAGTGACTCACCTAAATTCACTGAATAGAGCTAGAAACAGAACCTGGTTTTTTGGACCACAGCAAGTTGATACTACATGGCCTTGCTCAAAATACGGCTTTAATTTTAACTTCTAATTTATGAGAGTGCTTTGCAACACATGTCTTTATTAGGTGATGATTTTATGTTTAATTTCTGCAAGAAATAGAGCAATAGAAATATACTGGGCTTAGTTGCAGTTATTTTTAGGACTTTGGCATGGTTCAATATTCCTCCAACACATATTTCATTAAAGAAACCCTAAGTAAATCATTTCGTTTTACATGGTCTGAAACTTTGCCCTCCAATGTACCCACTTCACCTAGGATGGTGCTTGGCATCTGATGAGTACTGAATAAGAATTTGTTAATCACTTGAATGGATGCAAACTAAAACCCAAATTTGACATGTTACCTTTCTTTTCTTGCTTAATATTTTTTTTCTTCTGAAAGATGTACATTCGTGCTGGAATCCCTCTTAGGCTTACCCTAAGGTGGTGGGTGTAAGAACACAGTGCCCCATCCCAACAGGTAGACCCTGGTCATGTTATAATTACACAGTGGCTCTCATTTAAGATGTGGCTGGTGCCATAAGGGACTGTGGTAGGCAACATGCACAATGGCCTAGGGAAGCTATGTACATCTCCTATGATGTTGGTTACCACTCATTGTGTTAAGCCAGATGCATCCGCTTCCCTGGTCTTGCCAGGCAATGCAGAATTCAAATGGCAACCAATTTCTTAGGAATAATGATTCTGATGACTCTGGTGTTCAAATTTCTTTTTCAAGCATTCATCCTTTCCACGTGTCTTTTCCAGCAAGTGACAGCCCTGGTTTGTAGAAAAGGAAACTGAAAGGCAAACTGAATTAGGATTAGCCACTCAAGAAAAATACTCAGAGTCTTCCCTTAAAAATATTTGATTTTCTTCCTCATTAATAAAGTGGCTGCATATTCTTTAAGAGGTAACTGCAGTTTGTATTAATCACTGACATTTTAAGGGCCCAGCCATGAGATAAATCATCTGTTCAAATAAAACAGAATAAAATAAAATAAGGAAATGTATTTATACATTGTATCAAATAAAAGACCATTCTAATAAATGGTCTACATAACATTCACTTAAAAATTGATCAGTGTAATACAAATGTTTTGGTCCCATTTAAGTAGATATAGTTGATGTTGAATCTTATTATAGAAAATAAACTCAAGCTACCAATAACAATTTTTATACTGTACCTTTCTCCACTGCAATATTCAACTTGTTTTTTTTCTTTAAATGTCAAATGTGGGACTATTTGTATAAAATTAAAGGATTTAGATTCTATCTTGCTTTTCTAAAAGTGAAACTTTATTGTGTGAAAAATCATACCTATTGTTTACCGGGGTGTCCTGGCTCTTAATTTTATCTGCTAATATTCTTCCTCCTTAACCCCACAAATACTGAGTTGCTTGAACATCTGTCATTTTTATGGATGAATATCTTGTTCCTGTATTTTATAGTTGGTAGTGAAACTTTACAAACTCTCCTAATTGTAAGTTCTTCAAGGGCAAGAACGATGACTTTAATTCCTGTATAAATGCCCCCACATCATCAAATAACAATCAACAACAAAAGATGCTGTTGACCAAATTACTCATCCAGGGGTCAAATTTTATATCTGTTTTCAGGATCCATGAAAATAATATTTATTTCAGCTTACTGAAGACGATTGATGAAAAATTCTTGAGCTGAAGTTTCTCCCCTTTCTGATGATCTGAATGTGGCATCTAGAATTAATAAAATTAATAAAGAAAGGTATTGCAAATAGCAGGTAATATGGCATTATGCAGACAGACATGTATGACTAATATTTCTTTAGTTTTTATTAGGTGGTTTTGCATTACTTCAATACAACCTTAACTCAGCCCATTCACAAATCCAGTTCCCTTTTCCTCTTGTTCAAAGATATAGAGGAAACAGAGACATCTAACTGGTTTTCTTAAGCAATTTATGAGAAAACAGTTATTGGGTTCCTAAAGACCCATTTGGCCTGCTTTCAGTTCAGACATTCTCCTTTTACATTCTTACTTCTCATTTTCTTATTCCTCCAAATTAAGTTCTGCATTCACCATGGGGCATCTAAGACTCATGTTGTCATGGCTCTCTGCTCATGTTTGGAAGCCAACTTTTAGATCCTTGATAAAAGGTGCTATCACATGCTCAAAATATTTTTCTTTTGTTACTAAGCAACACAAACAGAAATTGTTCCGAAGAGCTAGAAAGACTATAATATAAATGCATGAACAAACTCCATAGTAGAGAGAAAAAAGTCTAAGGATGGGCAGATCTGCTGCATTCAGGGTTCATTGAGAGTTCCAAATTCAATTTTAAAAAGGATTTAGGTATTAAAAAAACAAACAGGAAGTCACATTTTTGGCGAGTGCGAAGAAATCTAAATCCTGTGCAGTGGTCAAAAATCTGCATTCACAGCAACTGAATGGGCTCTAAACTTGGCAAACGTGCTCTCTGAGCCCCTTTTCAAACAGGGGAAAATGCTTTAAAAGGCTAAAAAACAAAGGCATCTTAAACGTTAAATGGATTTTTTTTCCAAAATAAAGACTTTGATGAGTTACGCTTAAAGGAATCAGAAACACATGGATTAAGCTTTACTTAAAACAAACATAGGTTTAAAATTGTGGAGAGAAAGCTATGAGCAAAGTCTGTTAAGAGCTTCCCTCAATCCCAAATATTTGCAAAAAGGATTGAGATTTTTCCCAACACACCACAAGTTTTCTAAGTCTAATTTGATGGTATAAGTCACTAGAAATTGTCATCCATCCACTATTTTTCTGGTTTAAATATAGCTGCCATTTTTGCTTGTCTTTCCCAGATTGTAACCAATTGTTCTCTGCAGCAAGCTAATGCTCCTTTACAAAAGCAGACTCAGAGCAGCAGGCAGACAGCTCCATGCTCTTAAAATTGAGGCAGGTTCTGTGCCTGCACAGCACCTGTGGGCATTACCAGGTACACCCTTCAGACATTGCTTCCAGAGCGGCCATGTTTTGATGCTTCTGATGCCTCTCCAACCACGCTGGCTAAATTGGTTTCATGTGCCATTCACTCTAGTTACGTGGAAAGCTGTTTTTTTTCTGGCAATGGGTGACATTTTCCTGGCCCAGCGATCACATGCCTAGGAGGTTTCTACTCTTGCACGAAGGCGCATTCTGGCCAAAGGAGCCTGGCTGACATGCTGGAGGCTTGAATCCTCCAGACAAACAGCACAGACAGAGAACAACTGGCGCCATGCTGCACATTCCTACCCATCTTCAGACTTCCCTGCACATTAAGACGAGTCAAAGGTCTTCCTTTTGTTTTCAACAAGTGATGTTAGGTCCCTAGGATCTAAATGCCGAGTAGAGCTCAACTCACTGAGGAAATGAGGGGACTGTAATACAGTCATCTATGTCAAATAACTAGAGTAGTGGGTCTCAAACTTGACTGCAGTGGGATTGCCTAAGAAGCTTAAAAACAATACTGATGACCTGTGCCCTTATGCCCCAGAGATTCTGACAGAGTTGGTCTGGGGTGTAGCCTGAACAATTGGATTTTTAAAAGCTATCCAGATGATTCTACTATGCAACTAAGGCTGAAAACCTCTCAACTAGGGTTCCAGGGCTTCTGATCACCATGAAGCTAAGTATTGGGATAGAAATATGATATTCAAAACTGGCTACATATTAATCACATGCAGAGATTTTTAAAATACTAATACCAATGCTCAGACCCCACTCCCAGAATTTTTGATTTAGTTACAACATTATTAATTGTGGTGTAAGCTCTGTTCTAGTATTCTAAGTGTGAGATGTATGTATATAGAGCTTTATATATATTCACATACAGAGAGATATGCCTTAATGCAGTCATCCCTTGGTATATACAGAAGACTGGTTCCAGGACCCCTGCATATACCAAAATCCATGTATGCTGAGGTTCCCCGCGTCAGCCCTGAGGAGCCCTAGTACACAAAACGTCTGCCCTCTGTATATAAGGGTTTTGCATCCCTCCAATATTGTATTTTCAATCCACACTTGGCTGAAAAAAATCTGCGTAAAAGTGGACCCGTGTAGTTCAAGCCTGTGTTGTTCAAGGGTCAATTGTATGTATCTTTGGAACAAGCCAATAAACTAGGTACTTGTGATAGCCATGTCCAAAACGGCTCCCAGTGATCCCTGCTTTCTGGTGCAAGGGTGTATTTCGCTCCCACACTGAACCAGAGTTGATCTGTGGGACCAGTGAAATACTGCAGAAGTGATGATGTGTGACCTCAAGGCTAAGCCACAGAAAGCATTACAATTGCCACCTTGGTCTCTTGGGTCACTTATTCTGGGGGAAGCCAGATGGCATGCGATGTGGACTCTCAAGCAGTCCTATCTCTATAGGCCTTTGTGGGGAGAAACTTAAGCTTCCTGCCAACAATAAGCCACATTTTGTCATTTATGTGAGTGAACCTTGGAAGTGGATTCTCCAGCCCTAGGTGAGCCATCAGATGACAGCAGCCCCAGCTCAGAGAAACCCCAAGCTGAAACTGCCTGACTAAGATGTTCCTGAATTCCTACCCAGAGAAACCAGGAGAGATCTTAAGCCACTATGGTTTCAGGTGATTTGTTACACAGCATTAATACAATACTATTATTATTCCCATTTTACAGTTGAGAAAACTGAGCCATGGAGAAGTTGAGTAAATTAAGATTACTCAGCTATAAAGAATATATTTGGGAATCAAAATTAGGTGGTTTGTCTCCAAAAATCTGTGTTCCTAAAAACTATGCAATAAAGTAACTCGTCTGTATTGTCATGTCCCAATTGGTAGAGAAGAAGTTACAACGGTGATGATAAGCCTAAGAAATTAGATTCATGCAAACACCTTTCAAGTTGTCTAAGTATTGCCAATTGTTTCAAAATTATTAGACCATCAAAATGCTATCCTTCTATTCCAGCCCTGAGGCTTTTTTTCACTGATATTCCAGAAACACAGACTATGGATTCTCTGCTATAGGTGGGTCTACAAATAGACTCTCATATCTCACATCACTTCTGCTTTAAGTTAAGCCTACATTCAGGTTTTTACCACCTTTGAAAACTAAGTGCCTGTTTATATCCTCAAGAAAATTTCCACATGGCATAGGAGAAGTCCAGGTGTTGAGGACACAGAAAAGCCTCTGTCTCTGCAGTTACCAGTTGTGTGACTTTGGACAAAGGATTTTATGCCCAGGTGCCATTCCCAGCAAATCTGATTAAACTGCTCTGGGATGAGGCCTAGGCACGGGCCTTTGTAAAGCTCTCTGAGTGATTCAGTGTGCAGCCAGCATTGCAAATTACTCATGTAATCTCTCGCAGTCTCGGTTTTCTCATTTGTTAAGTGGAGGCAGTACGACTGAGCCTGTGGTGGGTTTTTTTGTGTGTAAGGATTAAGGGTAAGCAATGAAGGCAAAGCTCCAAGTGTGGTGTTTGGCACATAGCTGGTACACAATGAATGCCATCCATCAGTATTTGTGGTTTGTTTTAAATGTTTAATGTATTACACAAAAGTATAATACTTACTCAGATGCAGCGATTGATTTGCTTTCCCTAGAGAATCCTTCTTTTATATTTAGAAATTCCTTCCTACCTGGAGAGCAAGTAAGTACACATCTAATTGTCTTCAAGTTTCTTATGATTTTATTTTTACACTCATCACATTTATCTGGAGTTTATCTTACTAAGTAATGTAAGATAGGGCTTGAGATGGATTTTTTTCCCCAAAGAGCTCAATTTTCCCCCAACAAGCATTGAATCCATTCCTTCCCTCATTGATTAGTGAGGACATCTTAGTTATTTATTAGAATTGTAGGCATATACTGTCATTTATTTCTGGTGTGACTACTCTCATAAATGGATTGCTTCTTTATATTTCTATTAGCTTTGTTTTAAATGCTTAATTATGAGGGTTTTGCAATGCCTTTAATATCTATTGGGTAAATTCAAATATTTATCTTTCTTCTTTTTCCAGAAGTGTTTTCAATATTCTTGATGGAGATACCTTTTAAAAATATCAGATTCTTAACCTCCCTTAAATCCTTCAGTATCTCCTCATCAACTAACTGAGTCACTAAACTTCTCCACTAAGGTAACCTAAATGGAAAGAAAAGTTAATTATTTACCCAGGATCAGGAGATACTGTACAAAGCAGGCCACCAGAAGACCAAGATAATACCTAGTGTTTCCTCTTTAAAATATAAGCAACTTTACAATCTATTTTTTAATACATCTACTTCTTTTTTTTTTCAAATAAAGTTTTTCAAATAAAATAGCACTTTACTAGAGATGACGTGTGTTTATTCTGTTGCTTTAAGTAGCACTTGTTCCCTGTGCCTACGTGCCTTGGGAGTAACCCAGTTTGAAAAGGAAGGACTTACTGCAAAAAAATGCAAGCATTGTGTCATGACATGCTGGGCCCATTTTTATTTAGCTCCTGTGTATCTTAAAGATTCTTTTTCTATCATACCTCAGATGTATCCAAAGCCACCACTACCGCACAACTTGCAGTGCCTTAATGATAGTGCTATGGATAATGATAGTGCTATGAAGTATGTGACACAATAGACAGCATCTTTTGACTTCTTCCTAAAAGCTATCTCATATACAAGGAATATTTTTTAAATGGCATGCCCTTTGAACCAGTAACTCCATTTCTATATATTTATTCTAAAATACTAGTCAAAAAAAGTAGACAAGTGTGTAACATGCATTAGGTCATGTGGTTGTTTGAAAATTAGTCCACAAATTCTTTGACACTCCTCTCTCAAAAGGTGGGGCCTAATTCTCTTTCCCTTGAGTGTAGGTCACAATAGCGACTTGCTTCTAATGATTTCAAAGTGGCAGAAGTGACGGTATGAGACTTTTGAGATTTCAAAAAGGCATTTCAACTTTCTCCTTGCTTTCTTTCTTAGGTCATGCTGAGACCAGCTGCCATGTTGGTAGGATGCTCAAGTAGCTCTAGAAAGAGATTCACCTGGCAAAGAACTTAAACTTCCTGCCAGGAACTAGTGCTGACTTGCTAGTCACATGAGCCATTATGTTGGAAGTGAATCTTTCTATCTCAATCAAGCCTTAGATGACTGCAGCCCCAGATGACTACTTGACCACAACCTCCTGAAACCTCAAACTAGAACCACCTAGCTAAACCTCTCCAGAATCCCTTACCCGCAGACACTATGTGAGATAATAAATGATTATTATTCTTTTAAGCAGCTGGTGGATTTTAGATACTGTGGTATGCAGCAATAGATCATGAATAGCATCTATTTCATTCTTCACAACCACCTAAGAGATAGTTAACATGATTAATTTCCCATTTTACAAAACAGGAAACTGAGGCACAAAAAGAAGAGTGGACTTGTCTAAGACACCCGCTTACCAGCACATGGAGTTAATATTTGAACCTTTACCCCAAAATACACTTTCTTCTATGCCTCTGTGCATTTTTACATGCTGAGTCTCCAGCCCAGCTAACTCCTCCATCATGGTTCAACCTGAACAAAGTATACAGAAAATGCAAAAGAAAAAGACTAAGATGACTGCACAAATGAGAATGAGATTTATTTGAAAAGTCAAAGCAGTTGTGCTATCAAAACTGAAAGCAGGCAAGTGAGAGTATACGCAGGCCCCATATGAAATTATAATGAATTGCTCCCACTATTAAGAACCTATTAGGTGCCTGGTACATGGTATATTTAGCACATGTAGTTCTTGCTGCAATCCCAGAGGATGCTTATTCTAACTACCTTCATATTACAAATGAGGACACTAAAAAATGTTAATATACTCCATATGCAAAGAACAAATAGATTTCATGCAAAGACTCTATTTAAGAAAAAATAATGAAGAACAATAGCAGAAGTGTCACAGAATACGTACTAAGCATTAATAAACATTATGGGGCAAAAAGGTTTCATATTAGTATTCAAGGTAATGAAAATTAAAGCAACAAATCCCACACTAGTCACATTAGCGGAGAATACTTCCTCCTTCCCAGCTTGATTGAAGCATAATTAACAAATAAAAATTGTGTATATTTAAGGTGTAAGATGTGATGTTTTTATATACATATTCATCGTGAGGTGACTACCACCACAATCAAGCAAATTAGCGTATTTTTCAGCTCAGTCACCATTTGTGTGTGTGGTGTGAGAATACTTAGGATCTACCCTCTTGCTAGGATACAGTTCTGGAAAAGACCCTTTTTAATATGTCAGTTCAAGCAACAAATTGCTACAACATCCATGGGAAGCAATTTGATAACATATACTAGGAATATTTCAAAATGTCATGTCCTATGAGCCTGTAACTCCATTTCTATTTACTTATTCTAAAATACTAGTCAAGGAAGTGGACAAATATTAACATATCAATATATTCAGTCTAACTGTATTTAGAATACAAGAACAGAAAAGAAAAAATAATGAAATATGAGCAAGTTAAATATTGAACAGAGAAATTCTAAAATAAATTACTGTGTCCATAAAGCAAGAATTATGTAACCCTTAAGTATAACATCTGCAAAAAAAACTATTGATAAAAGTATTGAAAATATTGAAAAATATTGAGAATTATTTTAATATATAATGACATTGCTGAATTTAACCAAATGGTTAATTCTACATTCCAGTTTATCTATATTTAGGGATCAAGAAAGGTGTATTAGTTTCCTAGGGCTATTGTAACAAAGTGCCACAAACTGGGTGCTTTAAAACCACAGAAATCTGTTCTCCCACAGTTCTGGAGGCTAGAAGTGTGAAATCAAGATGTCTGTTCAGATATCCTCTCTCTGAAGCCTCTAGGGGAAGGTCCTTCTTTGCCTCTTCCAGCTCCTGTTAGCCTCTGGCATTCCTTGGCTTGTGACAGCATCATCCAGTCTCTGCCTTCATCTTCGCTTGGGCTTCTCCCCATGTTTCTGTGTCTTCACATGGCTGTCTTAGAAGAACATCAGTCATGTTGAATCAAGAGCCCAGCCTATTCCAATATGACTTCATTTTCACTAATTACATCAGCAATGACCCAATTTCCATAGAAGGTCACATTCTGAGGTACTAGGGCTTAAGACTTCAACATATCTTTTTTTTTGTTTTAGGGGGGGTCATGTAATTCAACTCATAAGGAAAGAAAAGATATATGATACAAGGTTTGCTTGTAGATCTTGGGTCATTGAAGAGGTGTGATAATAGACGTCTGTCCAGAGATGTCCTCAGTTACCTCTTGCTCTGTGTGAATCTGGATGGCAGCTGGCCCAGCTATCAAAAGACATCTAGTTCCCTCGGTAAGAGTCAGGTATCAATAATTGTAGTGCAACTGGACCAGCATTTTGCCTTATTTGGAATACTCGGCATCTCTGCTTATTAACATTTGACCCCTCAGTTATTTAGATAAGAAAGTAGGACCATGAATCTACTTTAATTACAAATCAAGAAAAGGATCCATATTTCTGCCTCTTACCCTTGTAAAACATGAAAAATTAGCACACATTTCTAGTACCATTTTACATTGTGAACTTTCCTTCCACACTGAAAAACTCAGCAAACCTAGAACCTTTCACATAAAGGAAACCATTCTGTAAACTCATATCCTACTTAAAGGTGATGGGGTGGTTAAAAACACAAGCCCACCCCTTGTTCCCCTTCCAGAGAAGAGAGAAGATCTAAAGTTGTCAGTAGTCTGAAGGGCCCATCAACTGGCCCAGAATTTACAAGGATCAAAATGGGTATTATTTTTGGCTGCTGTGATGTGAATGTTTATCCATCACATACAAGGTTAAAATGACCTGTATATATTTTTGAGAATGCCAAGAATGATGGTCTGGGCTGAATAAGAATGAGGGCAATGTTTTACAAAACACACTGAGACCTGAAATTTGTAAAAGCTCTTTTCTTTAGAAGGCATAGCACAAGTGGAGGTTTTCAGATAAATCATCTTACTGAATCTTTTCAAGGTAATAGTGTGCCAAAGTAATCGGCAAATATTTACTGAGTTCCCCTACCAAGCGTAATAGTCATATATTCAGTATGCTGCATACTGAAGAAGTCAGGGAACTTATTCATGCACTTTACAGACTCTTCTTTCTAAATATTTGAAGAATTACTTTTTCATTGTGTCCTCTTGAGATTACTTTGCCTCCAGTATCCCCTGTTTTGGGTAATACAGACCCATCTCCCAGGCTCTCAAATGAAAAAGCTTGTACAAAAACTTCAGAGCTTCCAAGACCCTTTATGCTCAGGCCCCCACTTCACTCAGATGTCTCATTTCCTTCCTACCCCTTCTCCCCTCACGTGGATGCTACAATCTACAGAATGCTTTGCCATTTCTAAAATAGGCCATGCCCTATGCCCATGCCTCTTCCCAATCCCTCTGCTTAGAATAACCACCCTTTTTTATGCCCAAGGGGGAAAAAGCTTAACTATCCATTAAAATGCAACTTAAGTATTACATCTCTGTAAAACTTTTCTCCAGAATTAGTCATCATTTTTTTAAAATGTCATACATTTTAGAATATATCTAAGTAAAAAGGAAGTCTTCCATCAGTTTCTCTGATCTCCAGTCCCATTCCCAGGAGATAACTATTTTTGACCTTTTTGTGTTTAGATCTGTTGTTTATTGCCACATTTCTAAGTAAAGTTGATTTGTCAGCATTCAGCTTTTCTTTTTCATTTATCCAACTCGGTATTTACTCTGAAGACTTTGATACTATTACAACTTCTACTTCTTAGATTATTTCTTCCCCTCATTGTCTCTCTTCTCACTTTTGAAATGTTTACTAAACAGGTGTTGGATTTACTGAATTCATCTTTCAATTCTCATCATTTTTTAAATTTTGCACATTTCTATCTTCCTGTTTTTTCCAGTCCTTCTCTTAATTTTCAAAAATTTAATCATCATATTTTATTTTTCAAGGATACTTTTGTTTTCTGAGTGCTCCTTTTGGTCACAGCAGTATGTTCATATTTGAAGAATGCAGTATTATCCCCCTTCACTCTTAAAGTAAAATGCAAAAAGCAAAACCCTTTTCTATTATCTCTTTTTTCTATTATTTGTACCGTATATCATTTGTACCATTTGTTTTTATAAATATTTATTTTCTTGGTGTTGGTTTTCATTAATGTCTGGTGATGCTTGCTTATTTGATTACATTTTTTAAGAAAGATTATTTATTGTCTAACATTAGAAACCATGAATTTTCTTTGCCATTGTTTAAATATCTGTTTGAACTTATTATGAAATTTGTCAGTACTTTGTATCAACTGACTATCATAATAAATTGAGTGTATGTTTTTCGTATGATTGTGCGTTTTTGTTTGTTTGTTTGATTTTTGAGATGGAGTTTTGCTCTTGTTGCCTAGGCTGGTGGCGATGGCGCGCTCTCGGCTCACCACAACCTCTGCCTCCTGGGTTCAAGTGATTCTCCTGCCTCAGCCTCTAGAGTAGTTGGGACTACAGGCATGCGCCACCACTTCCAGTTAATTTTGTATTTTTAGTAGAGACAGGGTTTCTCCATGTTGGTCAGACTGGTCTTGAACTCCCATCCACAGGTGATCCTCCTGCCTCAGCCTCCCAAAGTGCTGGGATTACAGGTGTGAGCCATCGTGCCCGGCCCAACTGTATTTTTTTTTTTTTTTAATACAGGTTCTCGCTCTGTTGCCCAGGCTGGAATGCAGTGGTGCAATCATGGCTCACTGCAGCCTTGACCTCATGGGCCCAAGTGATCTTCTGGCCTCAGCCACCCAAGTGGTTGGGCCTACAGACACATTCCAGCTAATTTTTCATTTTTTATAGAGATGAGGTCTCACTATGTCGCTTAGGCTGGTCTTGAACTCCTGGGCTCAAGCAATCCCCTCTCCTTGTCCTCTCAAAGTGCTGGGATTATAGGTGTGAGTCACTGTGCCTGGCCCAAATATACTCTTACATAACATTTTTTGTGTTGTACTCATTTTATACTCTTATTTTCCCTCTGGATGATGAGCTCCTTGGAAGCAGAAACAGTGTCTTGTTTATCTTTTATAGCTACATTTTACATAGCACACTGAGACCTGAAAGTACATGGGCCATAGTTGAGACTTAATAAGTTAAAAACTATTGCAAATAATGAAGGAGAAATGAAATGAAATGACTGGATATAATTTTCCCACAAGCTTCCTATATGCACTAGGAAAAATACTTTTGGAAAATGAATTATACTAAATTCCAGATTGACTTGAAACTTACCTTTGATTATTCCTCTTTTCTCTGAATATTAGAAGACAAAATGTAGTTTAACTTAAATTACAATGATCCATATTCCGTATTGTCTTTCTGGAAGATATTTCTGGTGCTCTAATTAAAGTCTGTATTTTAAAAAAAATAGGTTTTAAAGTTCTTATATTTCTGTTGCAAAGAGAAAATCATTTGGCCAACGGCTTGCTTAAATTGGCATCTGATAGGATCAATAGTCAGAAAACATAACTTTAGAATGTCTGCTATTTTTTATGTTAGAAATATGAAAAATAAACACTTTTTAAAGCCTAATTTCACCTTACAATCTAATTCTTACATTGATTTTAGTGTATAACTCTTTCCAGATACATTCAGAAATATTTGGAGAAATTCCAAGGGTACAGTTTTCTCAATTATATAAATAATCTTCCCACCTGCCCCACCCAGCCTATTTTTAGAGGCTGAAGGTCATTTTTAATGGACACAAAGTCTCATGATTCAGAAAATCTACGCAAGTTATTTCCCCTTTGGTAAATGAGCCACCTTTCTCAACATTTCAAAAGAATTTATGATAATATATAGTTAGAATATTTTAAAATTTTGCTAAAAATATTGAAGCTCATTAAGAATACATAAAAAGAGGAAGTTAATATTAAATAGCAGTGCACTTGAAAGGACAGAACTTGGAACAGTCTTGCTTTAGCCATAAAACACCCCACTGTCCTGCCCTGGGTGAGGCCTTCATCTGTACTCTTTCAGTAGTCCGCAGGTAGATATCGCTGATACTAGTCCTGTCCCTTCCCACCCATGATCCCCTTAGTCCACAAGACTAACCTTTTTCTACTTGAAAAACTGAACTCTTTATGTGAAGGGTGAAGAAGTTGCAAAATACACCCAATACAAAAAGCTAAATCTAGCCGGGCATGGTGGCTCACGCCTGTAATCCCAATACTGTGGGAGGCTGAGACGGACGAATCATCTGAGGCCAGGAATTCGAGACCAGCTTGGCAAACATGGCGAAACCCCATCTCTACTAAAAATACAAAAAATTTAGCCAGGCGTGGTGGGTGGTTGCCTGTAGTCCCAGCTACTCTGGAGGCTGAGGCAGGAGAATCGCTTGAACCAGGGAGGTGGAGGTTGCAGTGACCTGAGATTGTGCCATTGCACTCTAGCCTGGCAAAAAGAGAGAAACTCTTGTCTCAAAACAAAACAAAACAAAACAAAACAAAAAAACTAAGTCTTAGTTCTAGACCAGTAGTTCTGAAACCTTAGCATGCATCAGAATCACCTGCAGGGCTTTTTAAAACACAGATTGTTGCCCCCTCCTTTGCCCTGAGTTTCTGATTCAGCGGGTCTGTGGTAGAGTCCAAGGATTTGCATTTCTAACACACTGTCAGCTAATGCTGTTGCTGGTGGTAGAAATCACATTCTGAAAACCAGTACATCGGAATTTTCAGTGCGACAGATTTGGACAAGAGCTGAGTTTGATTGAAACATTGCATCTGAGTTCTTTAAAAAAGTAATCAATTTCTGTTAGGCCATTGAATACGCAAGTTAAGAGCTAGAGAAAAGGGTCAGGTTTGGAGATAAAAAATTTGCACGCCAGCGTATAAGAAATACTATAAATGAAACCATGGAGATGGATAAGATTGTTTAGGAAAAATGTATACACCAAGAAGGAATGAAAGAGAAGAAAGCAAACTAATCTCCTGAAAAATCATTTTCATCATGTCAGTTTTTGAACAAAAATTATAATTGCTTCCCATTTTTGGCTTGGTGGTTCTCAAACCTTTTCATCTAATTCCTAGAGTTTGTAGTGTTCTCTGTAGATACAATAAAATGTTAAGTACTTAATTATGGTACGATATTAAGGACATTTGTGACTATAAAGTAATCATAGTTAATACCTAATTGATTGCTTCTTCTGTACCAAGCACTGTTCTAGTAACTACATAAAAACATAAATATAAATATAATAAATATACACGTGTAGTTCCATGAGATGGGTATTATTATTATTTTATCATCATTGTACCCATTTTGTATATGAGGAAACTGGGACCCAGGTAAATAAAATAACTTCCTCAAGGTGATATGCCTTTGAGAAGCAGACCTGGGATTCAGTCCCAATCTGCCTCTGACTCTAAGGTCTTTGTTCTTAGTCATTGCTCTGAACACTGCCATATCTGACTATAATAAATATGTGATAGATGTAATAAAATACTAGAGCCTGAAGCTCCAGTCTTCCTTAAAAACAAAGCAAAAAACAAGCTTTCAAATTCCAAATGATTGTTTGTCTCTTTCACTCCTAATGTCTTTTAGAATTAAGCTAGAAGCTGATCAGCAACAGTTATCAAAAGTTCAAGAAAAATTATGAGTTAAAAACAAAAATCCCAACACCACTTAGAATGAGATGACTTATTCCTAACTTACCTCCTAACTACTTCTATGATTAACTGAGACACCAAACAGATTATCTGATACTCTAGTGCAATACCTTGTCCAGCCTATCGTTCTCCAGGTTTCCTCAAAAGAACTTACGGGAGTTTAGGGGCCACCATATTGTGTCGCTCTTCTGTTTAAATTTCAGAGCCCACCATCACCTGACCACCCCTTGGCTACTGACTCACCTATGTCCACTATTCCCCAAGGGCACCACTGCTCCAGTCGGGAAGGATCCTTTTGTTTGTTTGTTTTTAATGTTGTTTCTGTTTGTTTAAGTGATTGTTTTTCACCAGCCTATACACATAGTGGCCTCTGTCCAGTGTTTGTTGATTTCATGGTTGTCCAGAATGAGGTTTATCTCAAAGATCGGTTCAGGTCCTACTTTCTCCTGGGCATTTCCCTGATGGCTCTGATTCCCAATTGTGTATCCCTTACTCCTAATATTGTTAGTCTGACTCACTCAAGTTCGCTCTTACTGGTTAATTAGGTCCCTTGCAGGGAGCCCTCTTTTCCTAGTAAGAAGGGAAGCTCGTTGAGGGTTTGCCCTAAGGCTCACTTCTTTATATACAAAGGAGTCATTAGCATCAGGCTGAGTACATGTCCTACAAATACATGTAAACGGTTTCATTTTCCCCAGGTGGATGAAGTTGGGTGCTTCCTGTACATTGATTTTGCTTCCTTCTGGCTCACCAAGAAAATCAAGACCAAAAAAGTGACTGAAACCCAATTACTTGGGGAACAGATGAAGTAAGTGGGAAGCACGTTTTATGAATTCTATTTAAAAGTTTAAAATAATTAACAGGTCAAGTGAAACTATCATTCTATCATGAAGCAAGTTCATAACCAACATTTGATTTCTAAAACATATTTTATATTGTTAAAAATATTTGCAAGAAAGAGAAATCTCTATATATGAGTGGCCCAGAGAAGCTGTTTTACTTTCAAAGTGAAAAGACTAGAATTTTGTTCATCTATTTAACTTTAACAGAATCTTAATTATGTTATGTCACTGAATCTGAATTATTTAAGGGTCACAGGAATTTTATGCTAATAGAAAATATGGCACATATGGTGAACAGAAAATGGAAGAACTTTATGTTTACCAAATGTTGCAAAATGCAGAAATTCAATCTAATCCCTAAAATTCCTCCTCATTATTCACATTGTATTAGAAGGAAACATACTAGCTATTTTCAACAATTTTAAAATGTTGCAATCATTGTCCCTTTGATGATTCTGACCTAGGGTTTCTAAGACATTAATTTGCCTCCTGCTGTTTCTTCTTATTTTGGCCATGATTTTGCTGAAAACAAGTGTAAACTGAAGGAATGAAATCAAGATGCTAAATAATTACAAAGACTCTTAAAACTGTGGGTTGTCAATAAATAACAGCCTTTCCCCATTATGTTTACCATTTGAAATTCTAACTATCCTTTTACTTTTTTTATTTTCTGAGAAACATAGAAAGCGGTAAAAGAAATTATTATTAATATATGATTAATATTAATATATGATTAAAAAGAAGCAGTAGAAACACATAGGTAAAAGAATTCTTCAAAGAGGACAGTTTAAATTCCACTTCTTTAAAGAAAGCTTTTAATATTGTAGTCTGGAATTTTCTCTCCTTAATCAGAACCCACAAATCACCTGCATAGAGTTTTAATCAACCATTTGGACTTTAAAAAGTAATTATCTATCGACCTACGACTTGTCTCCTCAATAGCTATTTCAGATTGAAGTGAGGTGCCTTTACCTTCTTGGTATCCAAAATATTTGTATCATGCCTTACACATTGCACACACATAATAAACAGAGTTGGTCAAAGAGTCATAAACAACAGTTTTGTTTCAGCAAACAAGCATTCCTACAGACTTGCATGGATGTTGAAATTTCTTTAATTTAATTATATTTTAAATATATAGGGATTTTTTTATTTAAAGGAGTTGGAGAAAAATTGGGTCTTAGAACAAGCGTTAAAAAAAGTCTAGTGTAGTTTCCAACTCACATAAACATATATCCTTCTAGAATGTTCTTGAAAATGGGAGTTGAGCCTCTGTTGAAAACTTCCAGCAGAGTAAACATAGCGATTACATCAGAGTCTGAAAAATTTCTGTCCTCTTTTTGTGACTCTTCTATAGAGCAAGGCATCATTTTCAATCTATCTTTTAAAAAACAATCTGGATTTCCTACATGTTTACTTAAATATATGTTATATTTAAATATAAATACATATTTGAAAACACAGACTACATTGTATCTGCTCGTGTACTTCTCACAGAGGTTTTCCTGAAACATTGAGACAGTGCAAAAGTCTTTCGAGCAGCCAGAGATTCATAGTTACCGGTTAGTAGTGTGAGAATGAGCCAGCTCTGAGACAATATCAATAATAATCCGGTAAGTGCCTGCAGCCTCTAGAAAATGAAGGAACAATGTCCTCCCTTGGCAAGGAGTCTAGGTTAGCCCCTTGGAGCCACAGGTAGAATGCAAATTTGGAAAATTATGCCGCCAATATGCTTCAGCTGTAGAAAAAATCTGTCGTAAGATGCTTATCAGACATCCTTTTATTGTCTCCCTAACAATGGAGAGCAGCTCCACAAGCAGTCGTTTCGCATGCTATTCTGAGCAGAACAGAGAACGCCAAATACTCCTAAGAAGAATACGGGCATGCACAATGGGAGGGTACCCAGGAGGAAGGTGATGCAGAGGTATGGGCGTCAGGATGAAACGCAGAGACAGTGATAAAGATGTTATGCAACTTGTGCCCATCTCATTTCCTCTATTCATTTTAAACCATTTCAAATAAGATCTACTTTAGATATGTAGTGCTAAAGACCATGACCCACCCCGAGAGTTTCTATTGTTGCTGTTAATGTGACGGCCAACAATTAGCTTCCAGGAACACTTGTAACAACCATAACTGATTTGTGACAACTTATAGAAAGATATAAAAGGGGGGCCAGGTGCGGTGGCTCACAGCTGTAATCCCAGCACTTTGGGAGGTCAAGGTGGGTGGATCGCCTGAGCTCAGGAGTTCGAGAATAGCCTGGGCAACATGGTGAAACCCCATCTCTACTAAAATACAAAAAATTAGCCGGGCGTGGTGGCTCGTGCCTGTAATCCCAGCTACTCAGGAGGCTGAGGCAGGAGAGTCTCTTGAACCCAGGAGGCGGAGGTTGCAGTGAGCCAAGATCGCACCACTGCACTCCCAGAAAGAATAAAGAACTCTCAAATCAGGAATGAATTTGGTTTTGATAGCAAAGGACCCATCTTCCCCGTTTGTTCTGATGCTGAAGGATTGGGTCCCTACCAGCTCCTTTGTAACAAGAAGCTCTTAATGCTGGGTTTGGCCTTGCTGGGGGTTTTCAGGTAGTATTGACCTGTCAGTCAACGCCAAACTTCATCCTAGCAAGGGAGAAATATGCTAAGCCACAATAATAACGCACTTTGGTGTTGTACCTTATTGCTACTACAGGTACTGGCGTGAACTTTAACTTTTCTTGCTGTATCTGTATTAAGAACTGTCACTCTCAGTGCTTACAGGATTAGGAAGAAAGGAAGTTATACATGGCTTCCAATTTAAAAATTTTAAGCAATTGGGCAAATGGAAAATATCTTTTTACTGTGTTTTATGGAGGAAATTTTACAGCTCTTTTCAAACAATATTTCTTCAACAAGGGACTGGGCTCCGAAGGTATAAAGATGAATAAGTTGGTAATATGCTTGAGAGGACTGATGTGTTTCCATGAGAAAGAGCCAACTTCAATGTAGTGTGGCAAGTACTGTGATAACAGATTTCCACCGGGAGCTGGGGGCGAAGGGAATGGCCAGGCTCAGGGAGGGAGAGCTGCACTGAGGGGTGACTTCCCATGCTGATGGCACCTCCCTTTCTCCATCCCTAAGAGGCAGGGTTAAAGGCAAGGAGGACAAAGATTCTAATAGGATATGTGGCAAATGTTTTACTTATTAAAACAGCATTTCTGCTCTTGGTCTTCACCATCCTTAGAATCAGTCTCTCACTGTCCTTTGCTCACAACTTATCTCCTTCCTTTTAGATTTCCCTCTTTGTGGATTACTTGTTGCTTTCTTGTCTCCCCATCTCGAGATAACCCTGAATTTAGAAGGTTGAGAAAAAATAAAACCACAAAAATACAGTGCTGTATCCAGGTGACTCAAACCAGCTCTGGTTAGTGCCTTAAAGATATCCTTTCTCTTGGGGTGTACATTTCTGTGCTTTTCTCACTAGTAATAGTGTGTGGTTGCTTGGAGATTTATTAGGGATGAGAAAGATGATTATGGTTGTAGATGGAGTGGGACAGGCCCTTAGATTTTGAAATATTGGCTGGCTCCTCTGAGATGTGACTTTCCATGTCCCAGGCACTGTTTCCAGGCATTGTTATATCTGTTGAAATTTTGTCACTGGAGTGAACATAAAAACAACCTTGTCTCAAATTCTAACTCTGATGATGTTTAATCCCATGGCATAGGCATGTAGAAAAAAAGGTCCCATTGGGACCCCATCAATAAATGCTGTTGTTTGTTTGTTCCCATCCACTTCAGGCACCAGATGAACAGCAGAAAAAATGCTGGGCTGCTGATCCTGGGTGGAGCAGACACATAGGTCCTTCCCCATCCATATCATGGCCCAGAAGCAGTCCATGCACATCCTACTTGGTCAAAGGAAGCAGAGGTAGAGGGTGCAGAAAGATGTTGGCACCATTCAAAGTTGACATTTCATAAAGAGATGGAGGATGTGAGGGTGATCTGGCTGTGACACTTGTCATCACATTGATCCCCAGGGTTGATTTGGCTGATCTGGCTGGCTAGGTGGGTGGCCCCTTCCTTCTACACAGCTCCATGTGCTGTGTGCTTGGTTGAAGAAGACGATCTTCCCCAATAGAGGAGGACCTTTCCTTGTTCACAGGTGTACAAGTAGCTCCTGCTAGAACTTCCAAACAAGGTTCATTTGTAGGAGAATATACAGCAGTCAAGACTCCCGGATTCCACATCCAGAATGAGGTGTTGCATTTGGCAGTTTCTGCTTTGAGAGAGAGACAGAGAGAGAAAGAGAGAGAGAGATTAGAGAAATGAGCTGCATCAAGGACATATCAGAGTGGAGATCCATGCAATCTGGTGTCAACACCATCCTGGGCTCCAGAAGGCACTGACATACCTGGCCTCTTTTCTTGAATACCATGTGATCCTCTCTCTCCTATTAGAATGTATATCCCTAGAATAACCCACATCTCAGCCCTTCCAACTACTCTCAGTAACTGAAGGTTAAGTCAATAACTAGGTAAGATGTTTGCACATACCTGTTACACCTTCTGTGCTGGCTTTAAGGGATACAAAGAGGATACAGGAGACTTCAGAAAGCTAAATCTAGCAAGATAGGCAGGCACATAAACATGGAATCACAATATTGAAGTGTTATCTGCACTAGGGCACTGCTATGGTTTAGATGTTTGTCCCCTCTAAACCTCATAATGAAATTTAATCTTCCAATGGGAGATGTTTGGGTCATGGGGACAGATCCCTTATGGGTAGATTAAGGCCCTCCCTTGATGTTGAGTGAGTACTCATGCTGATAGATACCAAGAGAGCTGGTTGTTTAAAAGAGCCTGACATCTCCCCGCTACCTCTTGATTCCTCTCTCACCATGTGATCTCCACACATGCAGGATCCCCTTTGCCTTTTACCATGAATGGAAGCAGCCTGATCCCTCACCAGATGCAGACGCCCAATCCTGAACTTCCCAGCCATCAGAATTGTGAGCCAAATAAACCTTTTTTAAAAATCAAGTACCCAGCCTGTAGAATTCATTTATAGCAACACTCAATTAACTAAGACAGACATCCTTTAGCAGAAGCAGCAGTGGCTAAAACATGTCTTGGTTCATTAGGATTTTGTGGATTAACATAATAATAGCATATTTACACGTCCTCAAAATGTATTCTTTCTTTTTCTCTCTCTTTCTTTCTCTCTTTTGTCATTTTCCTTTTTATCTTTTTTTTTCTTTGTAAGTATTGTATGCCAAGAGAAAATTTTGTTCTTTTTTAGAACAGTAGTTGAAATGATACAAACTAAAATTAATATATAAATGTACATGGCAAATCAAGCCAGTAAATTAAATGCGACTGTGTCCACATGTACTCTACTAGAGTAAGAGAACCTCTTCAAGGCCAAAGGGGCTCCTAGAGGTAGGTTCCTACCATGTGGGCCCCAAAATGCCCAAAGTGAGAAAAGAGGACCTGCTGCTTAATTTTTATCCTTTTGATTTTAAAACAATAGAAAACAAAAAGCCTCATCCTGTAGCACTATTCCAAAGTTAGGTCCCAATTCTGTACTCCTCAAGCCTCAGAAGTAAGCAGTAACTAGGCCTAAGAGTAATTTCTGTGTGTCGAGCCCTCTTCAAAGATTTTATACGTATACTATTACATTTAACCCTCCTATAAGATGGTGCTATTATTATTATTATATCCATTTTATGAATGAGGAAAACTGAGGCACAGTGAGTTTAGGTAACTTGCCTCAGTACTTCCCCAGGACAGTGTAGATAAAGGCATGATAGAAGCACTTCTGGATTGGCCCAGCTTCTCTGGGGAAAAAAAATCAGAGTTCTTTGTAGAAAGCCCTTCTACAGACAGCTGGAGGCAGCTGGTGATGGTTTACAGTTTGAATTCACACCTTGCAAAAATTCCCCCTGGAGTCAATCATATTTAAGGAAGTAGCAATCCTGTGATTTCAGGGAATTTGAGAAATCTTTCTAAATCCCGAAGTATTAACTAACTCCAGCCTTTCTAGGGGACATGATCATCTCTGCATCATTTGAGGAAAACATGAGAATGATCCTTCCATTTCAAAAGATAGTGGTCAACCTAAGTTTATCCTCAAATGTCAGGTGAAGATCCGTACCTTTACTGAGAGCAGGTTTGGGTAGGAGGAGCATCAAAAAATCTGGAAAAGACTGAAAAGGCTGCACAGAACAGACAAGACAGAAGGAGAGAGGGGGCCAGAAGACAAAATTCACAAATGTCCAAGGGTGCCAAGGCCTGACTCACTCTGACCAGGCAGTTTCAGCAGCCGTGGGGCCCCTGCAGAGAGCAGGAGCAACAGGGGCACCCTCAAGTCTGGTAGCCCTAATTAGCCTCAGAGCCTGGCCCTGACACCACACAGCTGGTGCCTCGGCCCATTGGCCCATTGTCCTCTCAGTGTCCATAAGACCATGAGGCCCCCAGACTACTGCTACTATTGTCATTATCCTCTGCCTCTGGAGGGAGACATGTAAATTGTCAGGGCCAGATGACATCTGACATGCCAAGCCATTTTTAAAGGGAGGAGGTTATACAAAGCCCTTTCAGATGCTGGAATTCATATCCTCCGCCCATTACATAAATCCCAGCTAATTCTTAAAGACTCCAAAGACTTGGGCACCACGGTGTCTGTCTAGTGGTTAGAATTCCTAGGTTTTCTCCTTGGGCCTAGTTAGGAATTTTCTCACAATCACGAATCCCCTGAAGATGGAGGCTATTAAAGAGGTTCCAACATCATCTCTTTGTTGGCAAAATCCTAAAGCTTCCCTTTTATTTCTGTGAAATACAGATGTGTAGGGAGCTGAAAAGGAAAGTTACTCCTCCGAGATGACAGATGGCTTGTTAAAGAACCAAGAAAATGAAAAATCAGCAGCAAAAAAAAGAAAAGCACTGGACTGGGATGTCCTCCACCACCAACCTTCCATTTCTGTCATGACTTAGACTATGAGCAGGGAGTGGGAGATGGAAAAGGACAAAAGAGCAAAAGGCAAATGGGGGAAAATGTCCTGGAGTTTTGCATATTTCTTCCAAAGCAGCCTTCTTAGCCTGCCCTCTGGCCCTGCAGTCTGAGTTCAGAAGTGCTGGGTGAGTCAGTGAATTAGGCTCTTGCTCATGTCCTGACTTCACATTGATCAAGAATGCCCTGAACTCACAGTGATTTAAAGTGTGAACCTGGGACATTGGTGGTCCTCAGAGAGCACTGATGCTAAAATGAGAGTCCTTTCCTAAATTCTTACAGGCAGATGGTGGTGCAAGGTTATCGATTTTACACAGGGCCACTTAGTACTAACCTGCCAAGTAAAGTCTTACAAGTTACACAGACTTCCTATTCATGAGCCAAGAAAAGCCACATGTTGGATTTTACTGAGGATTCTAATCCCATGCTCAACAAAAACTTGAGCTTCTTGGTGGCACTGCCCAGCTCCTGTGAAACCGGCATAGGCATCAAGATTTGGAATTCTGAAATTTTTGAGAAGGTGGCTTTCAGGTTAGTGCTTCAGCACTTTTGTCTTGATTGGGCAGTTTTTGATGGCTGTCATTCTTGCATTTTAATGACAAATTATTCTAGCTTCATTTATTAGTCTAGCTTCATTTATTAGCAATTTAGTTGGCCCCATAGTGTGTAGTGACGCACTTTTCCATGAAGTTTACTTTTGGCCTATAATTTCCCAATCACTAAACTAAGATATGTATGTGTTATGGTTCAAATATGAATCACCCACACTCTTGCACTAACACAAGTATAAGCTCCCAACATGTGCTTATAGCACTTCCAGGTGACATCTGCCATCTATATATGTGTTCCATTTAAGTAATTTTCAGCAAATTAACAAGATAAATATAAAAATACAACCGGGTGCTGTGGCTCACGCCTGTAATCCCAGCACTTTGGGAGGCTGAGGCAGGCAGATCACGAGGTCAGGAGATCGAGAAGACCATCCTGGCTAACACGGTGAAACCCTGTCTCTACTAAAAATACAAAAAAAATTAGCCGGGCGTGGCGGCGGGTGCCTGTAGTCCCAGCTACTCTGGAGGCTGAGGCAGGAGAATGGCGTGAACCCAGGAGGTGGAACTTGCAGTGTGCCGAGATCGTGCCACTGGACTCCAGCCTGGGTAACAGAGCAAGACTCTGTCTCAAAAATAAAAAATAAAAAATAAAAATAAAAATCCTACTGGGTTAGTTTCAGGTTTACATGACACAGCATCACAACGTGAAATCATGTGTATAAGCTCAGATGCTTTTCACATACATTGATTAGTGATTCTTATATATTGCCAATAAGTTTGCTGTAATGTGTTTGATCTTGTTTCTTTCCACTTTTATAAGACCAAGGTGTTCATTTTCCTAGTGGAAAGTGTGAATAGACAGACTGAGTAGGTCATGGACCTTTTTTCCTGCTTAACTTGGCCTTTGTCTAAAAAATGTTTGAGACTTATAAAGCACTGTAGAAGGTACCATTAAGAAAAAAATTTTGTGCTTGATGATACAATAGCCCAAGGGATTGAAAGTACTATATGTGATAAATCCTCAGACTATGTCTCTATCTCTGTCCCCTTCATTGTCACCACCATTAAAGGCCTGAAGTGCTATCCTACATCCTCAGCTTACTGGACTACCCCAGAGGCATATTGAGGGAGGAAATAAGACTTTAGCTTTAAATAATATTTTTAGTCTCATTATAGGAATAATGCATGTTCATATTCAAAACTTTGGAAAATAGAACAAAACTCTAAAGGCAAAAATATTAATGACCAAACATTCTATTGCTGACTCTTGATACATTGGGATATTTTATCTGAGTCCTTCTATTAAACAAATATAGGTATAAATATAGATTTTTGTTACAAAATAAGAATCATTTTGCACATGCTGTTTTGTAAGATACCTTCCTGAGCAACATATCCAGAACATTTCCCCAGGTTATTAGATGTTATTTTCTTGTAATATCATTTTTGTGGCTGTAAAATAAAATAAACTATGATATAAATATATCGGAGCTTATTTAAACAATTCTCTTGGGTACAGGATCTTGTCATTGTAAAAACAACTTTATGCCATTCTTGAAGCTAAATCCTTCCTCTCATCCAGGTTCTTTTTTTTAGTGATTAATTTCTAGGAGTGGAATCATTGGGTTGAAGGTCAAAAATAATTACTGGGCTTTTCAATCATATAATCAAGTGCCCTTCAGAAATGAAATCAGTCTCTTTTTGCATTTTCAAGAGAAAAATGGGATGTTGGGTGGCAGAAAGCCCAGTTTCCTGCCTCTCTTGGAAAGTCTGTCCTATGTCCAGGCTGAGTGAGAATTGGCTGGCTTGCTTTGTGAAGGCGACTCCAAATAGTCCTGCCATGACCTTGAACTATACGAACTGCCTTTACTTCATACCCATTGTTGAGAATCTAGAATACAGGGGAAGAGTACTGGGCTTGGAGACAGACTGTCTGAGTTCAAGTCCTGAGCCACATACTATCCATGTGAAAAACTGGGCAGCCTAATGCCTCTGGATTTATTTCCACGTCTGTAAAATGAAGGATTTGTTCTGGATGATCCCTATAACATCTTACAATTAACAAAATTAGTGATCTATTTTGTGTTTTAGACAAGCCATTGATCTATTCATCTGCACATGTAAACTTGTAGACTGGATGCTTAATCTCTGCAAAGTTTCAAATCTAGATCCCCTGAGGTTTGTTGACCATAAGAAAAGGCTCAAAATGAACTTCCATTAAAGAGGTGTTCTATATTTCATGAATGTCACATGAATTTAATCACTTCCAGTTGGCAATATTCACAAATAATAAAAGGCTTTTAGATGCCCATTTTATTTTATTTTTATTTATTTTATTTCCATAGGTTATCGGGGAACAGGTGGTGTTTGGTTACATGAGAAGGTTCTTTAGTGGTGATGTGTGAGATTTTGGTGCACCCATCACCTGAGCAGTATACACTGCACCCAATTTGTAGTATTTTATCCCTCACACCCTTCCCACCCTTTTCTCTGAGCCCCCAAAGCCCATTGTGTCATTCTTATGCCTTTGCATCCTCATAGTTTAGCTCCCACTTATCAGTGAGAACATACGATGCTTGGTTTTCCATTCCTGAGTTACTTCACTTAGAATAATAGTTTCCAATCTCATCTAGGTTGCTGTGAATGCCATTAATTCATTCCTTTTTATGGCTGAGTAGTATTCCATCATACATATACCACAGTTTTGTTATCCACTCATTGATTGATGGGCATTTGGGTTGGTTCCAGATTTTTGCAATTGTGAATTATGCTGTCAAAAACATGCATGTGCAAGTATCTTTTTCATATAATGACTTATTTTCCTCTGGGTAGATAACCGGTAGTGGAATTACTGGAATAAATGGTAGTTCTACTTTTAGTTCTTTAAGGAATCTCCATACTGTTTTCCATAGTGGTTGTACTAATTTACATTCCCACCAGCAGTGTAGAAGTGTTCCCTGATCACCACATCCATGCCAATATCTATTATTTTTTTGATTTTTTGATTATGGCCATTCTTGCAGGAGTAAGGAGGTATCACATTGTGGTTTTGATTTGCATTTCCCTGATCATTAGTGGTGTTGAGAATTTTTTCATATGTTTGTTGGACATTTGTATGTCTTCTTTTGAGAACTGTCTATTCATATTTGTTACAAATTCTGGATATTAATCCTTTGTCAGATGTATAGATTGTGAAGATTTTCTCCCACTCTGTGGGTTGTCTCTTTACTCTGCTGACTGTTCCTTTTGCCTTGGAAAAGCTCTTTAGTTTAATTAAGTCCCAGCTATTTATCTTTGTTTTTATTGCATTTGCTTTTGGGTTCTTGGTCATGAAATCCTTGCCTAAGCCAATGTCTAGAAGGTTTTCCAACGTTATCTTCTAGAATTTTTAGTTTCCAGATCTTAGATTTAAGTCGTTGGTCCATCTTGAGTTGATTTTTATATAAGGTGAGAGATGAGGATTCAGTTTCATTCTCCTACATGTGGCTTGCCAATTATCCCAGTACCATTTATTGAATAGGGTGTCCTTTCCCCACTTTATGTTTTTGTTTGCTTTGTTGAAGATCAGTTGGCTGTAAGTATTTGGGTTTATTTCTGGGTTCTCTACTCTGTTCCACTGGTCTATGTGCCTATTTTTGTACGAGTCCCATGCTGTTTTGGTGATTATGGCCTAACAATATAGTTTGAAATCAAGTAATGTAATGCCTCCAGATTTTTTTTTTTTTTTTTTTTTTTTTTGCTTAGTCTTGCTTTGGCTATGTGGGCCTTTTTTTGGTTCCATGTGAATTTTAGGATTGTTTTTTCTAGTTCTGTGAAGAATGATGGTGGTATTTTGATAGGGATTGCATTGAATTTGTAGATTGCTTTTGGCAGTATGGTCATTTTCTCAGTATTGATTCTACCCATCCATGAGCATGGGATGTGTTTCCATTTGTTTGTGTCATCTATGATTTCTTTCAGCAGTGTTTTGTAGTTTCACTTATAGAGGTCTTTCGCCTCCTTGGTTAGGTAGTCCTAAGTTTTTTTTGTTTTTTTGTTTTGTGTGTGTGTGTGTTTGTGTATGTGTGTGTGTGTATTTTGCAGCTATTGTAAAAGGGGTTGAGTTCTTGATTTGATTCTCAGCTTGGTCGCTGTTGGACACTCATTTTAAAAACAACTGCATAACCTATGTGCTGCTCCTCTGTCATGGGACACTCTAAAAGCTACTGCATGGAAACATGATGTTTTATGTTAGTCCTCAGAATCATGACCAGAAACAGAGGTGAGAAGCAGGATCCCATTCAGGGCAGTAAATTGTCCCAAGTCAGCAGTTCACTTACCTTGAACAGAGAGTGCCTGTTCTTTGGTTTTTCAACTGGAAAATAACCCATAAATGATGTAGTCTCTTAACCAGATTGAAGAGGCAGTTTGAAGGAATGCATATGAGCTGAGATCAACTTTTATTGTTTGCTATCTGTGCTAATTTATTATTCTCACCTGATTCATCATCATTTCTCAGGGGCAGGTGAGCACAGAGACTCAGCCTGCTCAGAGGTGAGCTCTGCATCGTTTCGTCAGCTGTCACACGGCTTGTCTTGCGCTTGGGCTTCCTAATTAGGAGAGTAAAAAACTATTTAATTTTCTTTCAACCATGAAAACTATCATTAATTGAGAGCTTACTATGTGCCAGAGACTGGGCTAAACACTTGACATACATTGGCTGATTTAGTTGTTAAAACAACTGTGTGTATGTACAAGTATCAGTTGTCAATTATAAATAAAATAAAATGTGTAAAATTGTGTTTGTAATTAACACCTAATAATTGTACATATTTATGGGGTACAGAGTGATGTTTTGGTACATGTATGCCTTATGTGATAATAAAATTGGAGTAATTAGCATAACCATCACCTCAAAATACTTGCCATTTCTTTGTGGTAAGAACATTCGAAATATTCTCCTCTAGCTATTTTGAAATATACAAGACGTTATTGTTAACTACAATGACGCTCCTGTGATATACAGCACCAGAACTTATTCCTCCTTTCTAACTGTAACTTGGGACCCATTGACCAACCTCTCTTCATTTCCCCCTCTTTCTTTCCCCTCCCCAGCCTCTGGTAACCAGTATTCTACTCTCCAGTTTTTGGAGATCAACTTTTTTAGATACTTGTCCTTCTGTGCTTGGCTTATGTCACTTAACATAATGTCCCTGTAGGTTCATCCATGTTGTTGCAAATGATAGGATTTCATTGTTCTTTATGGTGAATAATATTCCATTATGTGTATGTACTACATTTTTAAATTCATTCATCTATGGATGGACACTTGGGTTGATTTCATATCTCGGCTATTGTGTATGTGGCTGCAATAAACATGGGAGTGCAGATGTCTGTTCAACATACTGATTTTATTTCCCTTGGCTATAAACCCAATAGTGTGATTGTTGGCTCACATCGTAGTTCTATGTTTAATTTTTTGAGGAACCTCCATACGGTTGTACATATTTTCTGTACTAATTTACATTCCTACAACAGTGTTTAAGAGTTCCCTTTTCTCTGCATCTTCACCAGGATACGTTATTTTTTGTCTTTTTGATGACAACCATTCTCACTGGGGTAAAGTAGTATCTCATTGAGGTTTTGATTTACATTTCCCTGATGATTAGAGGTGTTGAAGATTTTTTTCATAGATACCTGTAGGTAATTCGTATGTCTCCTTTTGAGAAATGTCTCTTCAGATCTTTTGCCAATTTTTAAACCGAATATTTTTTCTATTGAATTGAGTTCCTTATATATTCTAGATGTTAACCTTTTGTCAGATGCATGATTTGCAAATATTTTCTCCCATTCTATAGGTTGTCTCTTCACTCTGTTAATTATTTTCTTTGCTGTGCAGCTTTTTAGTTTGACATAAACATGTTTGTCTATTTTTGCTTTCGTTGCCTGAGCTTTTCAGTTCTTATCCAAAAAAATCCTTGCTCAGAAAATTTTCATGAAGCAGTTCCCCCTAAAAAAACCAAAATCAAAAAACTCTGTGTGCAAAGTATGATTACCATAATTTTTTTTTTTTTGAGACAGAGTCTCACTCTATTGCCCAGGCTGGAGTGCAATGGCACAATCTCGGCTCACTGAAATCTTCACCTCCCAGGTTCAAGTGATTCTCCTGCCTCAGCCTCTCGAGTAGCTGGGATTACAGGCGCGCACCACCACGCCTGTGTTTTTAGTAGAGATGGGGTTTTACCTTGTTGGCCAGGCTGGTCTCGAACTCCTGACCTCGTGATCCGCCCACCTCAGCCTCTTAAAGTGCTGATATTACAGGCGTGAGCCACCGCGCCCAGTCTGATTACCATAATTTTAAAGATAAAGCAACTGATAGGTGTAGAAGGAGGCAAAGTAATTTTCTCAAAGTCAAACGTCTAGGGAACGGTAAAATTGGGCTCTAAATGCAGGCTTGTCTGTCTTCAAAGCCAATATTCAGTTTAATGAGATTTATTTTTTAAAAAAGGACTTTTAAGGAAACATGCTAGGAGTTCCCCAGTAGATGTTTGTATCTGCAATGAAACAGAATGTATTTTATTCACTCAAGATTACTAGATTTTCAATACTTATTACTCTGGTTTATCTATGCATTCTTGCTTTGCTTCAAGAAGATCAAAAACTCCCATTTACATATTAACGTATAAATATTTTGAACATTTAACCTAAAAGTAACATTTAATCCCTTAGCTCAATATTTTTAAAGTGTGTTACCTTTACAATCATTGAAAAATAAATTTTGTAGTGTGATTTAGTAAACACACCCCCACACATATAGTGGATAAGAAAAAGAATTTCATGAAACAGTATCTCTTCTTCTCATGTAAAATGTAGCCTATTTTCTATTCTCTTTAATTTCTTTCATTTTTTAATGCTGATTTCACGACCTTCCAATGGGACTTGTAGCTCAACACACTATACTATAAGAATTTGATCAGTAGAGGACATTTGCTCTAGGGTTAGTGGGTAATTGCTTCATCATCTTCATTCGCTCTTCTATTCCTCCTCTCTCTCGTGCTCGCCCATCAGAAGAGGAATCCAATGCTTCATATCAAATATTTTAATTTCTCAAAACTCTCCTTCATTTCCTACTCCAAGGGAAGTCTGCCCTCTAATGATGCAAAAGCACCATTGATTTCAAAGACTCATCTCTCAATAAATGAATGAAAGGGAAAATTTTGAAAGTCAAAGGATTGAAGGGACCTTAGAGTTCCTTTAATCTGAACTTCTTATTTAAAATTAATGGAAACTGAGGCACAAAGAGGCATCTGACACCTCATTTCTATGTGGGCTAGCAGCAGGTGAGACAGGGGTGACATCCACATCCCAACACGAATCAGCAGGACTGTACCTGGGACTCTGAAAACTGTCATTAACCCACAGCCCTGAGCAATGAGGATTGAGCAGGGCCTCTGCCAGGGCCTGGATTCAGTGGTAGAAATAAAATCAAATTCATATTTTAAGAAAGACCCATTAATTTAGACTCAAGGGAACAAAATAGGTGGATTAATATAACCTTGATTCTGAATATTTTGGCCAAAATCATATCAGATACTCTCCTAAGGGACTCCGAGGAATCAGTTGATACGTGGCTATGAAAACAATGACAAGAGAACATTTCTCTGTGTTTTAGAGAGGAAGGGCTGAAAAGGGGGCAGGGTAGAAGACAGAGCCTACCTTTCTTTGCCCTTCTACTCTCTGTTGCTGAAGCACCTGCCTCTCTTTCTTTGTCCTCTATAGTATTGATCACTGTATTATAATTGTCTACTTCTCTGTAGCCAAGTGACTACGTTATCTTGTGTGATGAAAACAATCAAGTCTATCTGCCTGAGAATTCTATCTTCAGTGTGTATTGAGCTTTTCCGCTGAATGAATTAATGAGTGACTGAATAAATGCATGACTAAATAATTGAGCATGCATACACTGTGCTAGGTGTATTTGGAAGAGTACTTCCACTTGCCTATTTCCTATCCACTTTTTAAGACCCAGCTTAAACATCATCTTTTATAGAAACTAATTTTCAAAATACCCAGAGAGAAGAAAAAATTATTCTACCGGGCTCTCTTTCTGCTCCATATGTCCTGCTTACAGCCAGTAGATTATTCAGGAATTTTTGACTTGCGTTCTACCTTTTAACGAATGTAGTAAAGTACTCATGGATGTAAGTGCTAGAGAGCTACCATTCAGAATGCAGCTCCAGGCTAATTTATTGACTCTGTTTTTTTTGTTTTGTTTTGTTTTGTTTTTTTGTTTGAGAGGGGGTCACTGGTTGCTAGGTGTCTGAGGATGGTGACATGGAGAATAATTTTTATGTACATGTATATACAATAGAAAATACCATTTAGGAGGAACAGCACTTGGTCTAACCCCTCAAAAACATAAAAATTTATCAAAACTCTCCTGGGATCAACCAAGGTGCTCTTACTTGTGATGGGAACAATGAACACTTTTAAAACAGATTTTATCAACTGTCATTCTAATACTCTTACGGGGACATAAAGGTATTTCTTAATAAGGGACATTTAACAGTACAATTCCTGCAAAACTGATTAAACCAAAAAATATTTCATTGTGTAGCATCTACAGTAAATCTTACCACCCTCTCTGCCCCTGCACAGCAAAAATAATCTATCCCTCCTCCCTGACAGAGCCTTAGAAAGGGAAAAGGAATTTGGTATTATCAATGTGCTGGTTTATCAGATATGAATTCATTTGTTTTTCTCAAAAAACAACTTATCAGCGTGAACAGAGCTGGCTGGCCCAAGTGTGAATTGTGCTCCAAATCCCCTTTCTGAGCTCCCCAGGGCTCAAGAATTTTTATCACCCAGTTTGTTTCCCCTGTTTGTGCTTTTTTAACCTCTTACCTATTGAGGTGACTTTCTGGGTCAGGATTCCTGTAAAGACACTAGGAATTAGCACTGCTGAAGGAAATATCCAGGTCCGGCTGCCTGATGGCCAGTCTGCCGGGTAGTATTTCAGCTCTGATGGGAGAACCCTGGACAGTTGGAAGTCAGATGAATTACCTGGAGATGGCCCCTCTTCATGCTGCCATTGTTTGTTTTCTCTATCTGGGCAGATTGGAAAATGTCCAATATGAAAGGCAGGGCTTGGGCCCAGCAGCCCTGTGCACTAAGTCAGCACACCAGGAGACAGAGAAAGGCTTCCTTCAGCCAAATCCCACTGCCTGCCTCACCTCACCTGGGAGGGCTTCTTCACATCCCACCATGGAGTGCCTTGGGGCTCATGAGCAGGGGACTCCTGGTCTCTGATGTCTGATATTGACTCATCTTGTCTGTGTTTTCAAGACATGCTCCCCTCTTGAAGCTTTTTGGCCACAGAATCACCTGTGGAATGTTGGATACCTATCTCCCTCACACAGATGTATGTGGGAAGGCTTAATTCAGAATGCCCCCCTTTTTTTTCTATCCCTTAAATAAAAAGCAAGCCAAAATAATTCAAATAAAAGAGACTGGAAGTACTCAGAAATCTCTCCAAAGGTAAAATGAATGATAAGTGTTGTCAATTGGGATTTCTAACTAGAAATATTGACAGAGAAGAATATAAGGCCTTCATTTTTTGTGTGTCTTTTGCTTTGGCTTCTATATATTACCCTAAATTGACATTTCTTTTAGTGTTTGTGAGACCTATATCCATACATACATGACACATCTTATGTGAGGGAGACCTGGAATTGAACCTGAGATAGGGTTGTCAGAAATTTTTGCAACTTACAGAAATTGTTTGTAGAATGGCACGGTATGGTTTGTAGTAAGAGTGTTGGTAAGGATCATAAAATTAGAAGGCTGCTGTTGTGTCTAAGGCTAGACTCATACTATCTAAGCAAGTTTGTTCAGCCTTTCTTATGAAAACTTCCCAAGGAAGTGACTCCATAACCTTCTGAATAAGGTCTTACAGCTGTATGGTGTCTGTGGAGAGCAGCTCAGCAAGGAAATCAAAGTCTAGGTCCCAACCAGCAAATCTGACAACTGTATGAGTCTGCACTCCTGGCTGAGGCAAGCATGAACCAGCTGTCAGGAGCCAGGTAGTCAAGGTAAAAGATCTGCAGCATATGGATTTAGCAGAGGTCAGAGCAAGGGAGAAACCAGGGATCCAAGGAGGTCAGTCATAGGTTATTGGGAAGACAGTTGTCTGAGGCCCAGGCACGGGAAATGCTGGAAAGCTAAGAAGAAATTCAGGTAAAACTACCTGCAAGTAGAAAATGATGCTGGAAACCTGATCCTTAGACAAGGGTCCATCACAAACCAAGGTTGCTTCTGTGGTCCTGGTTGTGGGCCTTCGATTAGGACAGGCAGGGAAGCATTTCACAATTGTCAGCCTGAACCAGTTGGAGCAGGAGCAGGAATCTAACTCTGAGCATTCTTACAAAGAGCAAACCTTACTGCAAAGAGGAAAACCACCTCGCCCCCGTAGGCCTTGCATGAGGACCTGCTCCTCGTTTTTTATTTCTCTAAGCTACCAAAGTCATTAACACCAAGTTATGCCTGCTTAGATTTTTCCAAGGTGGCTGCTGTCCAAGTGCATGACATCCTGCAGCTCCACGGAGCCTGGGAGACTGAGGAGCTCAACAGGGAAAGATTATCAAGCTCTCTTACAAAAGCAAAGCACCCCCCCCCACCACCCAAATTAAAATTCTGAATAGATTCGTTTGCTTGAAGTTCGTGTTTAAAGAAAGTTAAATTTCTAGTGAGGGCCAAGGTACCTCCTCTGCAAACATGGTAGAATTTAGTCTCCTCTTACTTGAAAGTTAAAAGACTGTGGTCATACAGTTATGAAGACGCATGTGTCTTCATGTGTATTTAAAATACCGTGATAGTACTCACCTCAGCAGCACATATACTAAAATACCATGATAATTCTTTACATTGCCAAAAATTAAATTGGTTACTTTTTGGCTCTTGCCATGCCATATATGGGGTAAAAATAATGAAATATCTCTGTATGTTTTCATTTTAACAGTTAAACTTTCATTTTCATTTTAAGTCACTAAAATATAAAGAAATCTTAATTATTTTCTATCATAGGTTCTGATTGAAGGAGAAACAATATTCATGTTCCATGTGTCAAGTATTAAGTAGTATGGCAACTTTTCCCTGTGATTTTTGAGGAACTTGAAAATTATTTAGAAATTTCCTACATGTCTTATGATAGATTCAGAAGCCTTCATAAACACTAATAATTAGCATTGCTAAGGTTTTCTGGTAGAACTTCAGCTCCAGTGGGGAAAAAGGGTCTACATGCTGCCATCATTTTCTTTATCTGGGAACAGTGGAGAATATCCAAAGCAAAAGGCAGGGCTTGGTCCCAGCAGCCCTGCGTGCTAAGTCAGCCTAGATAGATTCAACTACCACACTCTCATCACACACTCATTGGACCTATCACTTCCATGGCATGCACTGTGTCTATGTATGTCCTTAACTTGTGTCTCTAGCGTCTTGCCTGGAATTCATAAGTACCTGTTGATGATGGAATGAATTCTGTAATTGTACACAGTTCAACCTTGCCTATAGGATAAAGTCCAGATTCCTTTGGCATTGCAGACTTCCCAGTGTGACTCCAATCTCTTCTTCCACTCCTATTTCTCATCCATGTCCTTTATTTTTCTTCCTCTCCTAAACTGATCTCTTCACAATCCCAAGAACACATCTAATGTTCCTTCATCTCTAGGTTTTTTCTTCTATCACTAGGAGTACCTGCGAGTAATATCCTAACATCTTTTTGAGTTACTGAATTCCTACTAATTTGTTAATGTATAGTTCAAGTTCAACTTTTACCCTGAGGTCTTTCCTCTGCTGGACTTCATTAAAAGTTATCATCTGTACCACTTGCTTGACACTTACTATTCCACGTTTACGTCTTTATTAAACTATGCCTTGTCTACCCATTTACATTCTAAAGTTCTTAGAGACAGAGTCTATGTCTTTAATACTCATCTCTAATTCAATCTTTCATTTATTGATTGATTCTATCATTTAACTAAAAAACATTTATTGAGTATCTATCATGTACAAACACAAAGTTGTAAGGGAAGAAAGAGAAATTAAACATAGCTCTTACCTTCAAAGATATTAAAATTAGCAAGAAAACTCTTTCCACATAATAAATTTCAATATATAACAACTCATTATTGATGGATTACCATAGAAGGCAGTCATACTTCTCCATTAACACAGAATTTAAAGGGCTCTTGCATCAGAATTATGAAGGTATCATTACATTTAGGAATTTTTTTATTTAAAAAAATTCAAATACATGCATGATATCATACCAAGTTGAATTTCTGTCAATCCAACAATGCTATCAAAATAAAGATTGTATATCCTATAACTAGTGTCTCTACCTGAGAAAAATCAGAAACAGTAAAAAGTGATACCAATTATTTAGGAGCTCATTGATAACTTGGTTTTCTATAGGAGCTGCTGAAGAGTAAGATGCTGTTCAAGGGGTCTTCTGCGGGCAGAGGGAAAGTAACTGGTTTGTTTTTTGCAGTATCTCAGTTGTGTCCTGGAAATGTGGAACGTCAGGAATGTCCTGCAAGTTGTGTGTGCAACAGATGATAATTGGTGCATGACCCCTTTTCTGAAGGCCCGCCCTGCTGATGAAAGAGTGTTACTAATGGAATGGATAAAATAACTTAGGGCACCATGACTTTTTATTTCCCCCGTGACATTTCGGCCAGAATTACTTAGATTCATAAGAAAGAAAAAGACCTGTGCCATCAATTCCCTTCAGTGTGAGAAATTTCTGTGATGTTTGGTAATTACTTTGATTAGAATTCTGTAAAAGTTATTTGTCTTCTACCAATTAAACCCTGCTCTTCAGGCATTCCCTCGGTTAGCTCCCCTCCAAAAGATGGACAGACTGTTTTGTAAGAAGGAAATTATTCCCAACACTCACTGCTTTCTAAAGTGGATGTTACTCTAATGCTGTTTCTCCTCTCCACTCTTACCCACAAAATTGTCTTCTTTCCTCTATGAACTCACCCAGTCATGTTGCTCCCTGGATTATTCCATGGACTTTTAATTTTTCCAAAGATCTGGAGCCTCGATGATCCCATGGGTGAATTTCCTTTTTGTGACTTTTCCAAGATCAGGCAAGACTGGGCACATTCAGGTAGTATGGCCATAGACCCTTCTAGTGACTTTTCTATGCAGTAGAGTCAATGAAATCACTTCCTTAAATATGCTATTTTTAATTCCACTTCCTTGAACTTCCCTTTCTATGCATTTTCTATATAGAGTTCTTTCAATAATCTAAGAAAGAAATTTATCAAAAGAGAATTCCTCTAAATACATTTCCTAGGAATTTAAAGATGCATAGGTCTTCAAAATTAAATACTTTATGTGTTGAAAGCCCTAAATATTTCCACTGAAGTCTTCTGCCCTCTTCTTTTCTCCTGAAGTATTTTGCCCTTGATGTAGGTGCATCAAGATGATAATATTGAACACTTCCAAAAAGTCCTAGTCTTTGGGTAAAACAAACCTCTCTTTTCAAACGTTGTAAAACTATAATAGTTAAATTGTATAACAGTATAATACCAGACCATTCATTTGTTCATTTATTTAACAACTATTTATTAAGCCTGAGTAATGTGCCAGACGGTGTTTAGGCACTAGAAATGAAAATAAACAAAATTGCCTGCCCTCATAGAACACATGTTCTACTGGAAGATGACAGACATAAACCAGACAAAAGAAGTAGAGAGCATATTGCATGGCGATGAGTGCTTACAAGATAAATAAAGCAAGGGAAAAGGATAGAAGTTGTTTTGGTGGCCAATGAAGGCCTCACCAAGGAAGTAATAGTTGTTAAGAAAAGGTTTAATTAGGTCAGGGCTTCAACCCTGTGGAAATCTGGGAGCCTGAGAGAGGAGGGGCCTGACATATTAGAAAAGCAAAGGGCACAGGCAGAGGAAGCAGAGTCCTTGAAGCCCTGAGGAGGAGGCTGGGAAGAAGAGGCTGAAGTAGGAGGAGGAGAGGAGGCTGGGAGGGGGTGGGTGAGGAACAGCCTGCAGGGCTCTGAAGGCCATGGTAGGGATGTTGAGATGGGAAGACAGCACAAGGTGTGAAAGGGAGGTGTGACGTGGTTGGACTTCACAGAATTACAATGTTAGGATGAAGTTGGCTTGGCTTGTATTTTATTTTTTCTTAATTTTTTTAGATCACGGCCCATTATAGCCTAAACCTCTCTGGCTCACGTGATCCTCCCACCTCAGCCTCCTGAGTAGCTGGAACCACAGCTAATTTTTGTTTGTTTGTTTGTTTAGAGATAGAGTCTCACTATGTTGCCCTGCCTGGTCTTGAACTCCTGGGCTCAAGTGATCCTCCTGCCTTGGCCTCCCAAAGTGCTGGGATTATAGGCATGAGCTACCATGCCCAGCCTGGCATTTCAATTTAAAGGAGAACATAAGAATACAGATATTGAATTTAGAAAAGAATGAGAGGAAATACAAAGAAAATCAATTCTTTCTTATTCACGTGTAATGATTTAAAAATGTTCTGAATACACGTTTATCTAAGAATGTGCTGCCTTTCTTTTTCCTTTCAAAGACACTAACTCCAGCATCTTTTTTGGTCATGTGTTCAAAAATATTCAAGAAATACACATATGTAAAAACAGTTCATTATTTATAAATAATACACTTATATTTATATCATATATATAAGATATGCACAGAAAAATTGAAGTGTAAAAGGATAAAAGTAAAAAATATTTTTAAAGCGAATTTTTATTTATTGGTACCATTTTGTTAATGATTTTATTTTCTATTTATTAATGGCAGCACAATAGTTTTTAGAACCCACTGAAATATTGTTAATGTTTTAGATTCTTAACTTTTAAATGTCTTGCTAATTGTGTGATGGCTGCTATCTGAAAGCACAGATATATGTATATATCTTTAAGTGCAATTCATTCTCAACCATAATGACTTTAAATCCATATGTTAAATAGTTTTGTTTGATTATTTGGACTTCTTGTCTCATATGGGATTAAATATTCATTGTTTTTAGCTCCTAACTTGGTTGATGAGAGTTTCTACAGGGCACAGGAGAGCCATTGTTTCCCTTTCCCTTCGTCATCATTATTAGCGTCACCTTAGTGATCTCTTTGTAGCCATTTTTGTATGCCACTTAAACATTTTATGAGATTTAACTTAGTAATGCCAGATAGTATAACCTGTAATCCATGTAACCAGGCAAACACACATTACAGTATGTGCTACTCTGCTGATACCCAGCGGCCAAGTGATTGCCAAGCCCCGGCACATCTTTTCCTCAGAATCCCTCAGGGACCCTCTGTGATACAGCACCTTTTGTCATTCAGACACATGGCAACGGTGTTAAGACACAGAGGAAAGACCTATACAGTGCACTCTTTACCACTGTTCAGATGAAAAATCAATATAAACAGAAGCTCAATAGTTTTCTTCCTCTACCACCAAAAGACTGCCCTGCTTATCCACGAGGGTATGAATATCCCAATTTATAACCCTTTTGATAAGAGCAAAAGAGCTTCCAGAGGCAGAAGACTGGCTTGACTTCATTTCAGGAACGTAGACGACTTTATTGGACATCATGATATGGGACTGTGACTGAGGAAAGGTAATAGTGTAGAAACACTAGTCATGAAAGAGAGAAAAATAAGGGTACCATATTGGTTGGGAGTTGGGTGAGTGAAGGGAAGGGCTTTCAGAGTGTTAAGAAGATCTAACAGATGATTGTTGAAGGGAAAACACAGCAGGAAAAGTCATGAAAAGTAGGAGGCAAAGTTCCCAGGGCCTAAATCATGTGAGCATCAAGAATTCAGGAATGTCTGTGCATGTCTGAAGGACCAAGTGGTCTCAGGAAAGGCGCAGTGGCTAGAAACATGAAGGCTGAGGGCTGCAGCCCAGAAACAGAGCACAGCAATGGTACAGAGGACACTCCTTGACGTGCCAGGCCTGGCTCCTAATGGAAAGAGAAAGGCAAGGATGAGTGAGCTTCCTTGCGGCTCTACATTCAGTGTGAGTCAGGGCATGGCATTATCTTTAAGAATGTCCTTAGAAGAATGAGCCTGGTGAATGGGAACTAGGGGATCATGAAGAAATGGGAAATAAAATGCAGAGAAACCAAGAACTCAGCTCAGCTCAATGATCTAGGACAAAAGTATGAGTGTATTATCCATCCCCTTCAGTGAGCAGAATGGAAAGGCAGCTAGGACCACAATGATGTCATCACCAGTGCAGAAAGTGCATGGAAATGCCAACTCGGGGTGGAAGATGGCAGGGAGCGCTGGGGAAAGCAGAAAAGCCAGACCCCTCCCGGAAGCAGAAGAAGAAGAGTGCCATCTTGAGAGGTAGAGGGAAAGCGCCTTCTTGAGAGGTGGGAAGACACAGAAACGCCCCCTCACCCTCCCCCACCACCCCCCCCACACACACACACAAGGAAGGTTCACTAAGGAGCTTGGGATTCCAGTGATTCTTCTGCTGTGTACCAAACCATAGATGCATGTTTTATTGCTGTTATTTATCATGATCCCATTGCACCTCAGGCTGTTGTGATTCAGGAAACTTCTAGACTAAATATATCTGTTCAGGGGGTTGCTGTGGTTATTCTGGAAGATAGGCTAGTGGACAAACTTAATAAACAGGTAAGTGGCTCTCCTTTCCTTTATTAATTTAAATTTTATAAGAACAGATAGCACCTGCAGTCCACACTCGGTTTCAAAACCTTGATTAATGGTTAGAAGAATGTACCCTAGGTCCAACAGATATAAGATCAAACCTATTCACTAACCCTAAGACTGCGGCAAAGGTAACCTCTCTAATCCTTAATTTCTTCAATAGTGAAAAGGAAATCATAACATTATATACCTCTTAGAATAATTGGGAGTAATAAAAGATAGTATGCCTCCAGAATACCTACTATATTAACCCTTTGAAGCACATGGAGAGCTGGTAATTAAAATGGAGCAGCCCAGGCCTGGGGCTGCAGCTCGCACCTATAATTTCAGCACTTTGAGAGGCCAAAGGGGATGGATCACTTGAGCCTAAGAGTTCGAGACCAGCCTGGACAACATGGCAAAAGCCCTTCTGTTCAAAAAATACAAAAATTAGCCAGGCTTGGTGGCATGCACCTGTGGTCCAGCTACTTGGGAGGCTGAGGTGGGAGGATTGCTTGAACCCAGGAGGTGGAGGCTGCAGTGAGCCGGGAGCATGCCACTGCACTCCAGCCTGGGTGACAGAGTGAGACCTTATCTCAAAAAAAAATAAAAAATAAAAAATAAAAGGAAGCAGCCCAGATAAGGAGCAAATTTCCAAATATTGCCAATCAGATTCTATTCTGAGCTAAGTAAGGGCAACCCCAAAGAGTGAATGAAGCAGACAGAATGAGTTAGGAACTTTGGAAGTCTAAGATTGTGTGTCTGCTGAACGCAACACAAGATCCTCTACTGTGCCTGCTAAGCAGTCTAACCTAATCATCTTCAACGGAGACCTCTAAAATACCTCTCCTCTTTTCAACCCCTGTAACTGAAACATCCACAGATGGCTCTTTCACAAGGGCCAGCAGTGCAAAAGTGTTCCCTTTTCACCACATCCACACCAACATCTATTGTTTTTTGACTTTTTAATTACAGCCACTCTTGCAGGAGTAAGGACCCTTGCGATTACACTGAGCACAGTGGGGTAATCCAGGATAATCTTCCCATCAAGATGCTTTGCTTAGTCACATATACAAAGTTCTTTTCACCATATCAGATAACATACTTACAAGTTTCAGGGATTAGGATGTAGACATCTTTTGGGAAACGATTATTCTACCTACCACAATGCTATATAAATATTAGCTATTATATTACAGGTTACAATATAATATACAACTTGTCCTAATACTATTACACACAGAAATCCAAGATAAATGTCTTAATAATTAGAAGAAAATATTTTAAGGAATAGGAAATTGCATAATTTTGCCTTTGTGGCTGCTATACTAACTATTAAAGTTACCATATCAGAGAAGAAAGAAAAGAACAATCAAAGAAATCAGTATGTGTCATCATTTTGGACGACTGAATTCTGCCCATGAACAACTATATCCAAGAGGAAAATGGACATCTAGAAAGTAGAAAACTTTTTGTTAAATAGAAAATTAACTCACCAAAGAAAACTTCAAGAAGAAATAGTCATTGCATATTTTTAACCCAACTCCTCTTATCTTGTTTTTCTGATACTCAGTAAAATAATATATCACAGTGCTTTCATGCAGGTCTTTCTTTCTAAAGAATTCTTAATTAATATTCATATTAAAAATGCAAAGCCAATGAAAAATATTTCAGAAGTCTTAAGATCAACAATTAATTCTTATTAGTAAATCATATCAGCTCTGTTTATAGTGGTATTGATTTGTCACTCTTACCCATGGTAGCTACTGATGTTTTAGCAGAAAAAAGAAACGGTTCAGAGTTTTTGAAGTAAAAAGTAAATATGGGCTAGGAAAACAAATCCCACAGTTGTCAGAAATGAAAACTCCAGTCACAGAAAAAAAAAAAGTGGGCAGGAATGTTCACTTAATATAGATGCTGATGTAATCTCTTGATCCGAAAAAAACACACAAGAGAAGACTGGCAGATATTTTCTTAAGAAATTGTAACATTTAAAAAAAATACTGATAAAGGTTTTAGTTGGAATTAAGCTGTAGCATAAACATGACTTGTTTTTGTTAAACTTGAGTTTTGCTAAGAATAGACAGACATCCATAATGCTAAAACACTTTATGCCAGGGTGGAGGGGTGATTAGTGCTCAAGATTCCAGACACAGGCCATTCCCTAAAAGCAATGCTCTTACATCCAGTGATTATACACATGTGGAACAATCTCCACCATGACCAAGTGCTTACCTATGAAGACAGAGTCTACTTAATTATAAAAGCCCAAATAAGCTGCAGGTCTTGGTGTAATGACCAAATAATTCTGTGGGAATTGGAGGCAACAAGCCTCCATGCGGTAGACTTGTTTTTCTGTTTTTTTGAGGTTGCCATTAATCTTATGAGAGTAACAAATGCATAAGGTGATCAAACAGATAAGGAAAATAAAGAACACTCAACCCATCCTCAACCTTCGGGGAATTTAAACGCACTGCAACAATGGAAATGGCCACACCACGCTTCATGCTACCTGGTTTAAGTGAAGAGTGGTTTGTAGAGGTACAGATCGCATCTGATAACATTCACAGGACAAATAGCCTAGGCCATCCCAATCAAAACTGCTTGTATATCTATTGAAGATACCTTATAATGAACACCATTACAAGTCGGACTCCAGCCACCACTCTTCTTCAAGAGAAGGTATAATTGATTGAAGGCCTTTTGTGAAAGTGCAGAGATTTCCTAATTGGGCTGCTTATTTTAGCTCAACCTGAGAAATGACTCTGATCTGAATAAACCGGTAAAAGGAGCCCGCAAGGGAACTGTCAGACAGGACGGTGACACTGATGACCAGGAAGATGACATAATTCAGACTTGCATTTCAGCTGCCAAATTTGGACACAGAAACTGGAGACAGAAAGGAAACTGGAGGCTGGGTGGAGAGCCACTGAGCCCTAACTCCCAGGGTGACCCAGCTGCCACCTGCCCAGTTCACAGCCTGGTGAGCAGCCTGAGGAGAAGGATGCCTCAGTCCTGTACAAATCTCTATCAGCTGAATGGATGGAAGCTGCAGCCACAGGCATGGGTAGCTCAGCACTTCTCCTGGGGAAGTCCCTGCGACGTGCCATGTTGGGGGAATGTAGAGCCAAGGTACATCGGATCTCCTCCAGCTGCCTGTGCAAACAGATTGTGGAAGCAGTCCAGATGTGTGGAAGGCTGGTTATGCTTTACACATAGACCTCTTTGTGTCTTCTCACGGGAGGGAGTAAAAACACTCATGAAGACCCCCTCAGAGAGAGAGGAAGGCTTGGACGTTTCAACACTTAATTCTTCATGTCCTATGCAGACACCACGTTGTGGCAGCTTGTAAATGATCCAAATAGCTCCTTTAAAGTCTGTTTTTAGGCACTACAGCAAATTTAAGAGAAACTGAAAATACTCTGTATGTTAGTTCTAGAGAAGACAAGTGTCCCAGAGAAGAACGGAGACATGGTGCCACCCCCACCTCTTTTACAGGGTTCCATGCTGAATACAAAGGGGAAATACTGATGAAAGAGATGCCAAGTTGCCTTGGGTTGGGCAGGGGAGAAGAACAGCGAGACTAGCTGGTATCTCTAGAGTAAAGGTATCCTCTAGCTGTACTCAAGAGGAGAACAATGACATCAGCTTCACATTTTGGAAGTGTAACTCAGCAAGTAGTTTATATGTCCTATTCAAGAGCCTGCCTGAGAAATGGCAATTGAAAATGTGAGGACAGAAATCACCAGTCGTGGCGCTACAATGTTGTCTCATTCGTTTAGCCATCAGGGTGCCCACGCTGCTGTGCTGAATGCTAGCAACCTGCTTTGCAAAGTAGTGACTTTTCCAGCATTTCAGCAGCAAAGTTGAGTCTTACATTTTCTTTTCTGGACAATGATCACCTCCAATTATTTTATTGTGTGAAGAACCCTTGATTTGAGACCTATCTCTCACTTGAGCACCTAAATGAGTAATTAAGGGGGATTTAGTGGAGAGACTAATTACAAAGGTGGTGCAGAGTTTAGGGAAACCAGCAAGGGGTAGTGCATTACCCCAAGGCAACAGCACAGGGCCATTACTATTCCTGGGCCTGAAGGAGATAGAGAGAGAGAGTCCTCACTGGAAGACAGAGGGTCTCCTAATAGAAACTTATCTAAGAACAACACCACCAGCCTCTAGGGGGGTGTTTAGGGGCATAAATACCCTAACATCACTCTCTTCATGCCTTCCTGACTCCCACCTGGGCCTCCTATTAGTCAAACACAACAAGAAGGCAGAAGGAAATTGACACATTAATAGCATCCATAAAAATAAGCCATTTTAGGTACAGAATGAGATGGGAAAATGTGGAGAGTGGATTCAATGAGCAAAATAAAAGATCCAGTCCTCCTCTTTTGCCCCTTGGCATCTACACTGGTTGTTTGGGTGAAAATATTGTGATTTCCACACAGGGGACACACAAAACTCTTTCAGTGGTATCCACTCAGGATAAATTCAGTCATATTCCCCTTGAAAACTTAAAGCATTATTGTGAGTGTTCTTCCTATAAGCTATAAGGTAGCAGGGGAAAAAGAAACAATATAAAACATAGCTCCACCTTCATAGCTGGTCATGAGAACAAGTTGATTGTCATACCTGCCTTCTTTTACCCATCTCTTGTTTCCTGACATTCAGCTTGGCCTGTGTTCTCTATGAGGGTGTAACTAAATCTTCATTTTTGTGGGATCTGAGTGCTTAGTCATCCTGTGATTATTGGGTTGCTACAGTTCTTTTACCATAATTGTTGGGCAAAAGACAAGTACTCAGAGATATTCCAGGGAATCTGCTAAGTCCTAAGCATGGTCCTTCATGCCTCATTGTATAGTAACATAGGGTGGTGAAAGAAGGAGACTGACTGAGATCCAGGATAAGGGTGACTTATCCTGATGACTGGATTATTAAGCAGATTATCTGACATCAATACTGTCTGGGCATTTATGGGGGATACAAATATCTATATACTCTTTGCCCATTCCAAAAGTTGCCCATCTACTATTTCCCCCAGAACTTCTTGCAACTTTCCAAGTCTTTATTTAGCAGGTCAACTCATCAGCTACCTCCCATGATATTAATGTAGATCCATAATTGTAATCATCCCTCTTTCCACATGATGTGGACAACTATATATAGTGCATGAAGTTAGACCCTCTGGGAGCTTTTCCCTTCATTATTATCATTCAGGGATCATCCCACATGGGACTATAAGGCAAATTCTATGCAGATAATAGGCAGCTTCATCTATAAACCTAGCCCACTTGGTTTCCTCATCCATTGGCTGGTTTTAAGGAACTCCCATGGGTCGTGGGTATGGGTTCCTACAAAGCAGTAGGAACAGTTATCCTAGGAGTCTGAGATGCCGGCTTATAAGTATACTTGTGCCTCCTTACCTGCTCAGGTCCAGTTTTTTATATTCATTTTTATTTGACAGTGAAATGCTGCGATTCAATGGATCAGGTAATACCGAGTTCAAGAGAAGTCTGGGTTGCACAGTCATTTAGTATCCCACGATCAGGCATAATCTGGAGTTGCTTTTCAAATAAAGAATTGTTGGCTGAAGAGGACATGCCCTTACTCTAAAATCTAGAACTTGTCTGTGAATATCCTCCTGGGGTTTTCCAGAAACTTCTAAGAACCACAGATATTCCCAATACTATTGGATCTGGTGGGACATAAGACCCAAGTGTCAGGCCAGCTTGCAATACATGGCGTGAACCTGCTTCATAACCTTCTTGCTCTTGCTACTTCCTGCCAAAGAGGCCTAATTAGCATAATGACACCAAAGGTATTAAGAAAGAAGTGTTAGTGTCTTTATTACATTTTTGATTTATTTTACCATTTACTTTTTTCTTTATGTATTTTAAATTACATTTTTGGTACACATAAATATTCAGAGTTACAATTTCTTTTTGCTAGACTTACCACTTATCATGGTAAAATGTTTTTCTAACTAATTATTTTTCTGATATTTATATAGACTCCTCAGCTTCCATTTTTTGTTTGTTTGTTTGTTTGTTTGAAATGGAGTCTTGCTCTGTTGCCCAGGCTGGAGTGCAGTGGGGCGATCTCAGCTCACTGCAGCCTCCATCTCCTGGGTTCAAGCAATTCTCCTGCCTCAGCCTCCCTAGTAGCTGGGATTACAGGTCCCAGACCTGTCACCACACCTGGCTAATTTTTTTGTATTTTTAGTAGAGATGGGGTTTCACCATGCTGGCCAGGCTGGTCTTGAACTCCTGACTTCAAGTGGTCCACCTGCCTCCACCTTCCGAAGTGCTGGAATTATAAATGGGAGCCATTGCACCTGGCCCCAGCTTCCTTTTGATTGATGTTTGCACAGTATATCTTTTCATATCCTTTTAGTTTGAAACTTTATGCTCTTGTAAGTATTATATACTTTATTTTGATTTTCTTATGGAGTCTGACAACAGTATTGTTTTATTGAGAGTATGGTATGGTTTGAATGTTCCCACCAAAACTGATATTGAAATTTAACTACCAATGTAATGGTAATGGGAGCTGGATCTTTAAGAGATGATTAGGTCATGAGAACTCTGTATTCACTAGTGGATTAATGCCATTTTCATGGGAGTGGGTTTCTGATTACACAAACAAAATAAGAGTTTGGCCTGATTTCCTCTCTCTATCTGGCATGTGCTGGCTTGCCCTCCTGCCATGTCAGGATGGAGCATGAAAGCCCCTGCCAGGTGCCAGAGCTATGCTCTTGGACTTCCCAGACTCTAGAACTGTGAGAAGTAATTTTTTTTCTTCACAAATTACCCAATCGGTGGTATTCTTTTATAGAAGCAGAAAACAAACTAAGACAGAGTATTTAGTTCATTTATATTTTATATAATTATGGATAAGTTTGAATTAATATTAACTACCTTTTTGTTTGTTTTCCATTTGACTTACTATGGTTCTCCTTTTTTCTTATCGTTTTTGGAAGTAATCAATTTTTTATTTAATTTTTTTCTTCTATTGTTAGTGTTAAATTATTTTATTGTTCCCTTAGTGATTATAACAGGCATTCTTAATTTCTTATAGTACTAACATAAATGATTGCTTTTACCAGTTTACTTACATTGCCAGAAATCTTTACATTCCATTTACCCACAGTCACTGCTGCATTATTATTGTCATACATTTTCAGTTCTGCATATAATTTAAACTCCACCAGACATCAAAATTATTGTTTTGTACAGTTGGCATTTGTTGAAATTTCCATATATTTTCTTATTATACTATTCTTTCTTTCCTCCAACATTTCCATGTTTCCATCTGGAATCATTTTCCTTAGGTCTGAAGGATTGGGCTCATTGTTCTTTAGCTTTTTCTTTAGTGTAGTTTGTTTTTGATTAATTCTTTCACTCTGCCTTTGTTTGAAAACATGTATGTTTCTCCATTTTTGAAGGTATTTTTACTGGATATAGAATTCCAGATTGGCAGTTGTTTTCTTTCAACCACTGAAAAATATTCAGTTGTCTTCTAGCTTTTGTCACTTCAGATGAGATATACCTCTCAATGTTACTTAACATTGTTTCTTTAAAAGTAATAGATGCCCCTCCCCTCAGCTGCTTTAATGATTTTAAGTTTTGACTTTAAGCAGTTTGACTATAATTCACCTCTTTGTGTTTATCCTGTTTGGGATTTGCTATATTTTTCCATTTCAAAATATCCACCTAATTTCTTTTTATGAATTTGAATTATCTATTAAAATTATCCATGCTTTTCTCTACTTTGTCCTTCTTGTTCTATTTACTTGAGTAGAATAATCACAATTTTACTGGTTTGGTAACACCTGCGGGTCTGCCTCTATTTTATGATTTTTCTGTTGCTTATTAGTCATATTGCTTCCTTACATGAACAATAATTTTAAAAATGTTTTCCAGATAGTGTGTACTAAAGAACTGTACTCACTCTAGAAGATGTTACCTTCCAACAGAAAGTATTCCTCCTGTCCTATTAGGAAGACAAACCAAGGTTTTGATCAATTCAATTTAGTCAGAAATTGAGCAGGATTGCTGCTGAGTTGCAGTGTAGTGAGAACCAGTTCCTCTCTGGTTTGCCTGTGCCCCTAGAGCATTGACCTCTGGCTTTTTGACTGAAAGCCTGAAGAATCTCCATGTCCTTGGTACCAAAAGATTTGAGCCCTAGCTCTGCCCCATCAGGTTCCATCCTAGATCTCTAGCTTTCCGTCCCATGTGTCTTCAAAATCTGACAGAGATCTTGAGAAGAGTGGCTTTGTAGTGAGGTCAGTTGCTCACTTTGTTTCCCAAGCACAAGCCTGTGAGAGATTTTACTCTGCCTTTTAGAATCTTTCATCTTAGTTCATCAGTCTTCTACATCCCAGCACTTTGGGAGACCGAGGTATGTGGATCACCTGAGGTCAGGAGTTCGAGACCAGCCCGAACAACATGGCGAAACCCCGTCTCTACTAAAAAATACAAAAATTAGCTGGGCGTAGTGTTGGGCGCCTGTAATCCCAGCTACTTTGCAGGCTGAGGCAGGAGAATCTCTTGAATCCAGGAGGCACAGGTTGCAGTGAGTCGAGATTGCACCATTGCACTCCAGTCTGGGTGACAAGAGCGAAACTCCATCTCAAAAAAAAAAAAGGATCATCCATGCCTTTTTCCTTGTTATCAAAATACGTTCTTGATTGATACAGATCTAAACATTAAAAAAAGAAAACAAAACTATGAAATACTCAAAAGAAAGCAGGAGATTTTTTATATATACAATCACTAGAGTGAGAAATGCCTAAGAATAAATCAAAGCCCATATTGAATTAGAAATCATAAAAGAAAATATTGACAAATTTGAAAAATTTTGCCTGGTAAAGCATGATAATCTAAGTCTCAAATGAACAACAAATTAAGAAAAAATATTTGTAACTCATACTCGGCAAAGAGTTAATTTTCTTGATATACAACAAGTTCCTATAAATCAATATGACCAAGATCAACAACCAAATGGAAAAAACGGACAAATGATAAAATTAGTCACTGCAGATTCTTAAACATATAAAAAGTCCTCACTCACAATAAGAGGAATGCAAATAAAAATTTCCCTGAGATACCAATTGCAACTATCAGATTCGCAAGAATTAGGCAGTTTACTTATAAACAATGGTGAAGATGTTGAGAAATAAGCACTTTTCTCGCTTCAGCAAGTGTAAACTGATACACTTTCTATAAGGGACAATTACCAAGATCAGTTTCCCATTCAACAAATATTTATTATCATGTCACTATGTGATAGAGGCCATGATGTTCTGTGGAACCTTACAGGTGAGCTGAGAACACAACAATTCAATGAGCATCTGTGACAAAAGGTGACAAATTTAAAGTGAGGGCTGTTACTGGATACTATGGCGACATCAGGAAAAGCTTTCCAGAAGTATCATTTAAGCTGAATCCTGAAAAGAGGGAATTAGTTGGCTATGCAGATCACTTTCCTGCCTTGCTCTGTCCTGCCATGTATCAGAGGGGACTGCATTTCATGGGCCCCTTATCCTCCAGTTTCAATGCAATCCAGCCAAAGGAAAGCACAGTGGGAGAATGGCTGATAAGGGGAGGGGAAAAGCTGGATATTTCACTCCCTCATTCCTTTTTGTTTCAGGAGGATCCCAAGCAATGGTTGAGTCTCCTCCATGGCTCCAGAACTCACAGGATAGCCCCTTTCTCGCTGGTCCATGGCTCCTGCTCTGATTTTAGTATCTGGTTCCTGGGATCAAATAACATCATCTCCTCCTTCCATCCCTCCAGGACTAAGGGTAGCAATGATTTATTCTTCTTTGCAGTCTCTGAGTCACATCAGTTCCCTTGCTTGCTTTCTCAGCTTTTCTATTATCTATGTGACCAGTTCCCTGTATTAAATTTCTTCCTGTCTGAAACTACAGTTGTTTCCATTTTTTGGAGTAAACTTGAGCAGACTAATATACCAGATAAAAAGGATTAGTGCTCCAAGAAGGGAAAATAGAATGTCCTAAAAGTAAGTCTAACTGGAGGAAATATGGTGGAAGGAGGTGAGAGAAAGGAGAAGCAAAATGATTCAAAATCAAGTGTTTTCATGTGAGGACATCCATTGATGAGAATTTTTTCAGGAGGGTGACCCTAGTAGCAGTGTGTTGAATGGAATAGAAAGGGAAAGACTGGAGGAAGAGGGTCCAGTTGGGAGGCTGCAGTAGCAAAGTGGACAAATGATAATGACATCTGAATGGAGGCAATGCAGTGGAGATGAAAAAATGAATGGATTGTAGGGACATGTAGGGATAAGTATGAGTAGAGTTTAGTCATTATTCGGATGGATGGGTGGATGGATGGAGAAAGAGAGAGAAAGAGAGAAATGAAGCAACACTGGTTTTTTCCCTACATTATTTCTTCATCTGGTTGCACAGAGCGTGTTACACTATAGATATTTTTTCAGTACTCTCATTTGGAGGTTCTCTAAGTTATTAAAACCCTGTAATAAAACAGGTGAAACATTAGGATATTTCCATGTCCCTTTTTGATGACTGGGCTCATGAGAAAGAGGCAAGTTACTTAATGTCTAACAATTGATGTCAAAATTCTGAAGCAGGTTAGTGCCACTGTGCCAAAGACAAATGAAGCCTCTGTTCCATCCATCAGTTTATTGAGGTTGGTTATACAAAGAGATCCTTGTACAGTCCAGACATATCCATAATAAGGAAAATGCCTAAGTCGCTACTACAAAGCATCATTTAAAAAAATTTATTGCTGTGTCTCCAAACCAGCTTCCAATTATTTATGAATTTATTCTAGGAAATTGGAGTAAAATGTGAAAAAAATAAAAGAACAAAAGTAGATAAGAGCCATTCATAGTCCAGTTAAGAAAGGAAGGAAAAGTGGCACTCTAAAGAGAATAGGCTATAAATCTTCGTCAAGGTTCTAGCATTTGAGAGCTGAAGGTCTGTCGTTTAGAATTTGTCTAAACAACAAAGAAGGAAGAACAGGGAGGAGCAGGCAAAAACCACAGTAATCCTGATTTTCCACTGTAAATCGTCCAGAATTCTTCATCATCCTGAAGGCCCATGAGAATCTAGTCCACTTCCTGTAGTGATGCTGCGGTGGAGCACTCAAGAACACAACTGTGGGGTCACTTGCCTGAGTCCAAATCCTGGCTTTACAGTTTGGTGGCAACATCACTGTCACTACTAATGAGCCTAGTTACTTAATGTCTCTGGGCTTCAGTATGCTCATCTATAAAATAGAAGATTAACAGCAATATTAGAAAAAAATTCGAATTACAATAGCATCAAAAATAATAAAATAGGAATAAACTTAACCAAGGAGATAAAAGACTAGTACACTAAATTCTACAAAATATTGGTGAGGGCCGGGCACAATAGCTCACGCCTGTGATCCTAGCACTTTGGGAGGCCAAAGTGGGAAGATTGTTTGAGGCCAGAAGTTTAAGACCAGCCTAGGCAACATAGTGAGATCCCATCTCTATAAAAAATGAAAATTTTTTTTTTAAAAATGCTGAAAGAAATTAAAGACACAAACGGATTGGAAAGATATCCATATTTATGGATTGGAAGGTGTAACATTGTTAAAGTCTCACTACCACCCAAAGCAATCTATAGATTCAGTGCAAACCTTAACAAAATCCCAATAGCATTTTTTTGCAAAATTAGAAAAATTCATTCTAAAATTCATATGGAATCTCAAGGGACTTTGAGTAGCCCAAACAATGTTGAAAAAGAACAATATTGGCAATCTCATACTTCCTGATTTCAAATTTTACCACAAAGCTACAGTAATAAAAACAGTGTGGCACTGGCATAAAAATAGATGTATAGACCAATGGAATAGAATAGAGGGCCCAGAAATAAACCTTTGTCTATTGGGTTGAATGATTTTTGACAAGGATGCCAAGGCCATTCAGTAAAGGACAGTCTCTTTAGCAATTAATATCAGAAAAACTCGATATCCACATGCAAAAGAATGAAGTAGGACCTTACCTTACATCACATGCAAAAATTAACTCAAATGCACCAAAGACCTAAATACAACAGATGGGCTGCATACAGTGGTTCATACCTATAATCCCAGCACTTTGGAGGCCAAGGTGAGAGGATCCCTTGAGCCCAGGAGTTGGAGACCAGCCTAGGCAACATAGTGGGACCCCGTCTCCACAAAACATACAAAAATTAGCCAGGTGTAGTGCACCTATAGTCCCAGCTACTCAAGAGGCTGAGGTGGGAGGATTGCTTGGGCTCAGGAGGTTGATGCTGCAGTGAGCCATCGTCATGCCACTGCACTCCAGTCAGGGTGAGAGAGTAAGATCTTGTCTCTAAACAAATAAATAAACGTAAGACATAAAGCTCTAAAACTATTAGAAGAACAGCAAGACTAAAGACATGTGAAGCTCTTAGAACCTGGAACTGAGTAAATTCCCTGCCTCAGTCATACATGGATGGCTCCATGGGGCAAAGAATGGGCTGCTTACTTTACCCAGAGGTGTAGCAGATAGAAGGGCTTATTCCCTACATCTAGTGAAAACAAGACCAAATTATCAGGGGAAAAAAATGTACAAGTCTAAAGACAGAAGGACCACTAAAATCACGAACTCTTAAACTGAATCAAATCTTGTAGTTCATGCTGCCAGTGGGGAAAGACCCTGAACATCTGAAAAATTCCAGTGAAGGGAAACCTACTACCCCGAAGCACAATCCACTGCCTGTTGCAAACTCTACCTCCTTGCCTGTTTCCTCAGAGTTAATCTGCTTCTTTCCAGCAGTTACTATTGGATCTACTGCCACTCTCTTTCCAGACAGTCTTAAACTGTATTTGGAGATAACTATAAAACTGTATTTTGGCAGATGTCTTCCTGCTGACAGCCAGCAAAAGGTGGGCTCAGCTAGAAGCAGATCAGGACTGTGTGATGAAGCTGTTAATAAAGAAGCTAACTCAAAATAAGCCTGCTTTGTTGATGGCACAAGGGAGGTAACAGCTCCCGTGTTCTGTATATTTCAGAAAATCTGCTAAGCTTTGTGTGAATCAATGAATTCGTGATGAATAAGTGAATGAATGAAGGACAGCTAGCATGAGGGGTCTAGAACCATATCATACAAGAAACAAGCAGTTGTGTTCATATTCCAAGTATTGAAGAGAATACTAAATAAATCCATTCTTAATATCTATGTCTAAGCTTCCAGAGGACTGTTGTTGTGAAGAAAGAGCCTTTTCTTTTTAAACTTATTAATTCAGCTCTACTGCTGTAAGGGACATGCAATGGCCAGGAGGAGGATTGCTCTTAGAGGTGAGAACTAAGACAAATGTGTGGAGGTTACAGTGATGCTGACATAGGCTCAAATTAAGGAAGACCTACTTTAAAATTAGAACAAACAAAGGACAACTCTTCCCGGAGATCTGAGCTCTCCCTCAATCACAGTGCTATAGGAATGCTCACCAAGGACACCTGTGTTAGGTGAGGAGAACCCCCGTGTGGTACCCAAAGCTGAGATCCTATGAATTCTGTGATTTCTCAAGGCAGCTTCTTCAGTTCTGCCAGCTCTGTGAGATATTATACCCTGATCAAACTCCTGTTCCTCATAGATTCTTCTGAAGCCCACAATAGAATGGATTTTATCCCCGTTTCTTAGGGTTAGAACTGATTGGCCAAAGTGAAACTTTCTCCAGCACTCATCTACTCTTACTGATTTATATTTTTGCTTATCTACACCCTAGACATTATAGAGACTTCCAGACCCTGGAATGTGACCAAGAGATGGATAATCTCACCAAAATTTCCTTAGACATGTGTGGATCAGATTAAATAACATTGTGGCACTGATACACATGGCATCACCAAACACATAGACGGCATGTGTCTTGTCCCTAAATACCACCCCAATGCCCTCTGGCCATTTTTCTGTTTGCTGTACTACAAGGTGCAAAGGGAGGCATCACTAACATGCACACACCAGTATCCACAGCCCGTGGGCATCCCAGCACCAAGGAGAAGGTCAATGGTAACAGCCGATTTTTCTAAATGAAAACTAAATAAATACACAAGGCAAACGCAAACATTCATTATCTTCAGGATGTATATGCTTGAAACAGACCTGTTATTCTATCACACCCCATTTAGAAAAATTAAAAACAATATAATACATAAATTGCTTGCTGAATTTAGGAAGAGGAAAACTGTATGGCTGAGTGACTTGAAGCCTCTGATGGGGACAGAGATGCTCTGGTGCTATTCTTCTTCCCAGCTTCCCAACCTGAACTCACTGGGTGACTTTAGGCAATGGGTCTGTCCTTCTGTGCCTTCGTTTTCTCAAAATTAAGGCACACATGAATAGCACCTTGTCTCCCATTCTGGGCTTTTGTGAGACTTGACAAAGGTTGTATCTCTTCTCTTAATCCCACTAGATTACTTCAGTTGGCTTCATCGTGGTCCCTTGCCAGTAATGCACAAAGCCTTAGACTATCACATCTGACCTCTGCACCGACCATGGAAAATCAATATGACTTTTTGTGTATGTGTATTTTCACCAGTTAAATTTAAAATGAAGTGTTAAACAAGATTCTTGGTGTGCTTGACATCTAAGTCCAGATTTGGCAAAGGATAAGATCCTGCCCTTGGGAGCTAAGGCCTCAGATATGGTATCAGGTTAGTAGAGAAGCAGCTCCAAGGTTAACTCAATTGCTGAGACATTTATGGTACTTCTCTGTTGATTATTTACCTTGGGTGCTATTTTAGTGAGCTGCAATGACCTGAAAAGATAACACTGGGAAACTGATGATTCATCCTTTCGTAAGAACAGGGCACCTTCCCTAGGCAATACAGTAGATTTTACTAGTGTTCTTCTTGAAGCTCTGTTTTTAGAAAAGGGTCTGAGCTTACTGAGCTATACCATACTTCTGTCAACATTCATGTCAGGAAAATGGCCAGGTAAGACATGCTCAAAGATTCTCTCTTCTGTTACTTTTATTATTTTTATTACCAAGTCACAGTCCATACCGAATAAGCCTCTGGGTATGGGACACAGGCATCAGGATTTTTTGAAGCTCTCCAGGTGATTACTTGTCTTACCTTACTTGTCTTACCTTAAATGGAAAAATTAATCCAACTGTCCAAAATCCCCTATTGTCATTCATTCAACAGGCATCTGTCAAATTCCTGCTCTGTATTAGTCACTGAATTAGGTACTGAGTAGAACTTGTAGAGAAGAAAATAGACATGGCTCCTGGCTTCTTGGCACTTGCACTAGTGGGAGAGATCATTGAGAAAACAAGGAAACAAGAAAATGAATAAATAATTATGAGATGTGATAATTCTAGCAAGTAAGCACACAGTGATACAGAATTAGAGAAAGAAGGTGGAGATTATATTGGGTGGCGAGGTAAAACTGGAGGACCAAAGGATGGAGAGGCATCTTGGCTGGGAGTTTCAGGGAGGTAGTTCCAGGGAAAGAAGAATAGCATGTGTGGAGGCTCTGAGCCGGGAAAGTTGGACACATCTGGGAATAAAGGAACTTTATTGCTTGTTACTCAAAATGTGGTCTGTAGAGCAGCAGCATCAGGATTCCCTGGGAACTTTAGAGAAATGCTGAATCCCAGGCCCCACCCCAGACCAAATGAATCAAAATTTCCATTTTAACAAGATCCCCAGGTAACTTGTGTTCATATTAAAGTTGAGGAGCACTGTCAAAAAGCATAGGTTCCAAGTGTGGGTATACATTGAAATCACCCAGAGAGCTTCAAAAAATCCAGATGCCTGGGTCCCATCCCCAGAGGCTTACTTGGTATGGACTGTAACTTGGACATCAGGATTTTTGTTAAGCTCCCAAGGGATTCTAAAATGCAGCAAAATTTGAGAATCACTTATCTGAAGAACAGCGCAAAGGGTAGACGCTTGATAAATATTTGTGAATCAAATGCTTGACCCTATAGCTTTCCCAGAGATTCCTGCAAACAGGCTGCAGGCAGGCACGAATGTTACTCTCCTCCAAATGAGTGCACTAGAAGGGCTGCGTTTCCCAGAAAAATGAAACAAAATCATGAACCATTCGGAGAAATGAATTCAAAGATCACTATTCCAGGAACCAATTAAACTCTTCTGTCTGTCAGGGAGCCACTAATTTGGGCATTTTTGTGAATTCCCTGTAGTTGGAAGGGGATCTCTCTGGTGGCTGGACACAGGTGAGGGAATGCAACCCTGAGTTGGACTCATGGAAAGACAGCATGATTTTCAGATTTTCTTTCCCAACGACGGAGAGCTCACACCAGAGAAAACCCTCTTCAGGACAGTCTGGTGACATTCTTGACTAATGAGCTCAGAACAGAATGTCCCTGCCCTGGCATTATCAGGGAAGACTTGAGGGGGGGCGGGGTGTGAAAGAGTACAGGGTGTCATCGAATGGACGATGTGCATAGCACAGATCTGTGGGGAAGCCCCCTGGGTATTTCCTGCACCTGTGCGTCGCAAGTAATAACAGCCAACAACGCGTGCATACATTGGAGAGTTCAACACAAACACCGTGTCAAGGACCATTAGTGACCATGGGCACAGTCAGCTTCCCATTGCCCAAGAGTGGCCCAAGAACTGAGAAGCGCAGAGCAACCCCTGCACTCACCACAGGAGGTTGCAAAAGATGTTTAGGAGAATAAGGCTCACTCATTTCCTCCTTGCCAGGGCCCTCAGCTTTTAAGGCCTCTTCCAAATACTGCTATACCAGGTAAGAAATAGTCATGCAAGTTGAGTAATAATGTAAATTGACACTGGAGGAAGGGGCAAGAAGGGAAATTGGGATGACACAGATCGATCTTTAAGGGCTTCCTCAACCTTGTGGGAAAAACAAAAGATTTTTATTTTTAATAATAAAATAAGCAATATCCTGGCATGGAGGAGATACTATGAACCCCAGAAATAGCTGCATTAACCCTTTCTGGCTTTTCAGCACACTGCTGACTCAGCAGAATGAACAACTTTCTAGTTGAAAGCTGCCCACTCTGAAGTGTAGGCACTAAATAAAGTTACCATGTTTTAAGGGTCATGAAGATGGCTTGGCTAAATGTGCCTAAGCAAAATTGAAGAATTACATGGGCTGAAGAATGCATAAATATATCACTTTCTCATATATAAATGTCTTTGAAAATAAGAATGTCAAAATTCAATGTGAACTGAATAACTGAATATCAAGGAAACAGCTTATTCTTTGGGAGTAAATGATTTTCCTCAATAACTTGTATTCAGTGTGCTTCTTCTGTGGGCTTCCTAAAGAGCTGGAAATGCAGTCCCTGCAATGGCTGTGTGCACATGGTGCCCACCCATGAGTACAGCCGTGTAAGGTACAATTATTGATGAGTTTCACACCTGTGCCTGGACTGCAGCAAGAGACCAAAGAAAAGCATACTAAGACGCTGCCTGGTTCCACATTAAACTCATGACCACAAGCCGCACGTGGACCTGAATATTGCCCATCAGAGATTCCATGTGTCCAAACCCCACTCTCTCCCACCATCTTTGATGTTTATTTCCCACCTTCTTTCTTCTAAAACGCCTCATCTCGCTTCCTTATCTCCCTATTTCCATTTTTTAAGTAGAAATTAAAGAGAAACCCCCCATTCTGCCACCATCACCTTTACTCAACAACTGATATCTGTGCCAGTCCATACATTCTGCTTTTTCTCTGTTTTGCCACAGATACGCTGTCATTACTGCTAACCAACAGCAACGATGACACTTAGGCGTTAGATCCCACCCCCTCCTATCATCTTGAGGAGTGAGCCCTCTCTCCTGCCTCATTGTCTCTCTTCCCTGTTAGAGAATTCTCATAAATATGTCAACACATTATAAGGCCCCCCATCTTTTTAATCCTCCTTTGCCCTCTCCATCTCTCTCCGTGACCACCTAATTTCTCTGCTTCTCTTTAGAGCAAAACTTTTCAAAGGACTTGCAAAAGATTTGTTTATTCTCCTTATCTCTACTTTTCTTCCTTATTCCTTTTTGACCCAAATCTAATCTGGTTTTTGTCCCCACCACTCCATGTTAACTATGTGTATCAAGGTTACGAGAGAATTCTTCATTATTAAATCTAATGATCAATTCTCAATTTTTGTCTTGTGTAAACTAGCAAAAGCATCAAAACACTATTTGGTTTATTGGACTCTTAGGTCTTCTCCTAGCTTCTGGAGAACTTCCCAATCTCTTTTGCTGCTTCCTCTTCATCAGCTCTAACTTTCCATTTGGAAATAGCCCAAAGCTCTTCTCTCTCTGCCTACCCTCACCCGCTAGGTGATCTCATACAATTTCATGGCTCTAACCATCTCCTCTGAACTTTAACCTGTACATCCTCCTCCTTACTTGACATCTCCACTTGGATGTCAACTGAACAAATTGAACTTACTGTGTCCAAATCCAGATGCTCAATTTTCCTCTCAAACTTGCTCTTTTCCCCAATCCCACTAAACAACAACTCAATTTTTGCAGTGGCTTGGGCCAAAGACCTTAGAATCATCTTTGGCTCCTCTCTTTCCCTTATTCCCCAACTTCACAACATTTAATTATGCAGTAAACTTCATAGGCTGTGTCTTTAAAATATATCCTGAATGTATCTGAGGATTTATTGGCACTTTTACCTCTGCTGTCCTATGTCAAGCCATCAGCATCTCTCCCCTTGATTATTTTAGTCACATCCAATGTGTTCTACCTGCTTCAATATTTGCCCCCTTATTTCTCCATAGGACAGTTGGAGTAATCATTTTAAAATATATGTCCCTCTTCTGCTTAAAATCTTCTAGTAGCCAAAGCCTTTTAATGACCAACAAGTTCCCACACAACCTTGGCAGCCATGCCCCACCCTGCACCTGTGTAGCTCCACCCACCCACCTGACTGCCATGCTTCTATTTTCTCACTCTGCTTCAGCCACAGTGGCCTCCTAATGACTCCTAACATGCCAAGCAAGCTCCTACCTCAGGGCATTTGCACTTGCTTGTTTGCCTGCTGGTCTAAAAACTTTCCACCTTACCCTGCTGTTAGCTAAATAGTTTGCTACCTTTTGCCTAGTGGTGTCTTCTCAAGTGCTCCCTGATCAGCAAAACCTTCCCGATCACCCTTTGCAAAATACCAATTTCCACCCAGCATCTTCTTTCCCCTTTATCATGATTGATTTTATACCTGTAGCACATGTGATCACGTTATATATCATATGTATTTCCTTACTATTTGCCTCCCTTCGTTAGAAATTATCTCTTTAAGAGCAGAGATTTTGATTTGTTCTTGCCATATTTATAGCACCTAGAACAGAATTTGTCATGTCAAAATTTGTCATGTCAAATGAGTGAATGAAGAAGTATAGCCAATTTAGTCGTTGCAGCAGTGGAACAAATATCAAACAAGTAAAATCAGTCTTTGCTATCAAAGCAGTTGTGTGCATGAACAAAGATAATTCCACCATACTGACTAAGAATCCACTATATGCTAAGCATTGTGTTATGCAATGTAATGAGAAAACAGTGGTTGTCTTTTACTCTTTCTTCAAGAGAACTAAACAGCAATAAGGAAGGTAACGTGCAAATGGGTGGTGAGAAACGAGATAACACATTCAAGGAAAACATAGCAATTCTCAGCTGATAGGAGTATTATAGCATAAGCATTTATGAAGGTCCTGCTGTGTGCTTTTAGCTAACATTTATTGAGCTCTTGTGATATGCCAGGCAGGACACCAAGCGCTTCGCAGGTATTAACACATTCGCAGCTTAGAAGAATATTATGAGGCACATATTATTTTAAATTCCACTTTACAGAAGACAAAACTGAAGCACAGAAACTCAAGTTAGTGACCCATGATAGCACAGCATAAAAATAATGTAATTAGATAAATACGAAAACCACAAATGTGCAGACTAAAAAGCAGGAAGAAAGCAGACCTATCAGTGATCAAAACGCATTTATTTGCTTATCATGTACTCAACATCGGGTACTATATGAAAACAATCCCATATAGTAAGAGTATTGCACTTTTGGAGGTGGTCTCCCCTTTTCAGAAGAGTTGCTATTGGGGTATTAGGGCCTTATACCACTGATTCTCAATGTTTAATAAAAATAAGGGTCAACTGGGGATCTTGGTAAAATGCAGATTAGGTCTGGGTGGGACCTGAGATTCTGCATTTGCCACAAACTCCCAGACAGTGCTTCTGCTAGAGGCCCATCCTTGCTACCCTGAGTAGCAAGAACTCAGACAAATTAGTACCCACATCTGGTTAAAAAAATAGGATGGTGCGGTGGCTCATGCCTGTAATCCCAGCACTTGGGGAGGCCAAGGTGGGTGGATCACTTGAGCTCAGGAGTTTGAGACCAGCCTGGGCAACATGGTGAAACCCTGTCTTTATCAAAAATACAAAAATTAGTAGGGTGTGGAGCCGCGTGGCTGTGGTCCCAGCTACTCAGGAGGCTGAGGCAGAAGGATCTCTCAAGCCTGGGAGACAGAGGTTGCAGTGAGTCAAGATCATGCCACTGCACTCTAGCCTGGGTGACAGAATGAGACTGTGTCTCAAAACACACACACACACACACACACACACACACACACACACGTTGACCAATTTGTAAATGACAAGTAGAGAAGTCACCTCAAATGAGTGAAGTGTGGACTGTTGGGAAAGATAAGCTGTCTCTGTCCATTTTGACCATAAACCAAAGGAAAAGTTAAGATTGTCTGGAAAAACTTTTCAAGTGGACCACTGTTGCCAATTTTTATGTCATTTATAGTTTTCTAACAACAGTAGTCAGAGATGAAATTGGCTTCATCCCCAGGCCTTTAACTTATCTATTGTTCCCACTGGACCAGCAGCTCGCTTTTAAAATACCTTCTTGGTTTATCTTTAACCCAGAAGCATGGTGTTTTCCTGGTCTTTGGCTGGATCCCTGCTTCCTCAGCCTAAACAGAAGTCTACCCTGTGAGAGTCCCCTGCTGCGGGCACTTTTCCTGCTTGCTGCTAAAGGAATTCCAGAGAAACAAAAGCAAGGAGGCCGCTCACCCCTTCCAGCCCCCACCCAGAAGGCATTTTTGCTTTGAGATTCCACCTACAGGCTCCACTGGTGAAGTTTCCCCGGAGCAGAGTGCCTCCATTCCGTTCCTACTTAACAGTCATGGTGAGGTTAGAAGGTTAAGGGAGCCTGCCCTGCAGAGAAATTTGCAAAGATTAACTAATGCAGACAACAAGTGTCCGGAAGAGCAGAGAAATGTGAGGTCTACTTTATGGGGAAAGCTACCCAAGGCAGACAGGAGGAAGTTTCAAGCACAATTGGACAGTATCTCAGAATTGTGTGGATGTGTGTGTAATAAGAAGTATACATAAAAATCTACATAATATATATTTTATATATAGTATGGGTTTTTACATACTGTATATAACTGTATATATACACACACATAACAGTGTGTGTGTGTCTGCATATGTGTGTGACTATATATGTCTGTATATATGTTACGTGTATGTATATGTGTGTGTATATACACTGTTACATACACACACACACACACACACACTGTTGTGGGCTAAACTGTGTCCCTCTAAAATTCATATATTGAAGTTCTAATGCTCAGTACCTCAGAATGTGACTGTATTTGGAGAAAGAATCTGTAAAGAGGTAATTAAGGTAAAATGAGGCCATATGTGTGGGTCCAAATCCACAACAATTGATCTCCTTATAAGAACAAGAGATGTAAGACACAGACACACACAGAGGGAAGACCCTGTGAGGACACAGGAGAAGACGGCATCTACAAGCCAAGGAGAGAGGCCCCAGGAAAAACCAAACCTGCCAACACCTTGATCTTGAACTTCCAGCCTCCAGAACTATAAGATAAATTTCTGTTATATAGGACACCCAGTCTGGTATTTTGTTATGGCAGGCCTAGCAGACTCTCTCTCTCTTTCTCTCTTTCTCTCTCTCTCTTTCTCTCTCTCTCTGTCTCTCTCTCACACACACACACACACAGACACACACACACACACACACACACACAGGTTGGCCACTAAGTCTGAAAACACAGACAAACATATTTTAAAATATTTATTGTTTTCCTACTACAAAGAATGATAAAATGATATTATCTAAGAGTCAAGATTTTATGGCCCGCTCTATAGGCATAAACGTCTCGGCCTTCTCCCTGCACAGGGGGAAGGGAGGGTAAAGTAAATATCGAGTCAACGATAAGGCTGAGAAGGAGCCTAAGAAGTCTACTGCACAGTGCTTGGCCAGATTTGGGGGTGAATGTTCCGTTTCCCCAAGAATAGCTTCCTTAGAGTTCTTTTTCCTCAGATGCCATTAGGCTCTCTTCAACCTTGTCCCATGGCATGGCCACACTCGGCCCCCACTTGGCCTTTCACCAGGCACCCTCCATGCGGCTTTGGACGTCTCCGTGCTCTGTGAATGCCCTTCCCAGACATTCTCCAGCAAGGCCTCAGCTGAGGGGGAGGCAGGGCAGGGCTATGCCTGTCTTGAGTTGGTTAATGATTACCAAGAATCTGGAAATCCTTCTACCATGGTTATGCACAGAAACTGAAATGTCAAATTAAAAACAGAACCCCTGAGATAAGAAGAAAGTGGGACTGAGAAGCAAGAGCCCAGCTTGACCAGTGAGGCTCTGGAAAATCTGTGGTTTTGGGGGACAAGAAAAAGTTCCTGTTTTTTGCGGCAGTAGTGATTATAAAAATAGCAGTGTCATCATTTTGTTCAATGAGGAAGTCCAAAAATAAATATATGGGGTGAGCTAATGAAGGACTTTCCATGACATCTCAGGTCACAGAAAGGAAAGAAAGGGGAACTTCTATATTTAAAGGTCCTATTATAACAGGAGCTATGTTTCTTTCCTATTTTTTTTTTTTTTTTTTTTTTTTTGAGATGGAGTTTCACTCTTGTTGCCCAGGCTGGAGTGCAATGGTGTGATCTCCATTCACTGCAACCTCTACCTCCTGGGTTCAAGCAATTCTCCTGCCTCAGCCTCCAGAGTAGCTGGGATTACAGGCATGTGCCACCACGCCCCGCTAATTTTGTATTTTTAGTAGCAACAGGGTTTCACCATGTTGGTCAGGTTGGTCTCGAACTCTTAACCTTAGGTGATCTGCCTATCTCGGCCTCCCAACGTGTTGGGATTATAGGCGTGAGCCATGGCTCCTGGCCTGTTTCTATAGCTTATCTCATGTAATTTTGACCATAATCATATAAAGTAGACTTTATTATTCTTATTTTGTACAGGAAGAGCTGAGAAGTTAGGTAATACAGACATTGTTGGTTGAATGACCCAGCAGACCTTCCCATCCTTTTCTGTCTGCTGCCTTTCTCGATGGAAGTTGGAGATGGTACATATTCTCCTTTTCTGCCTTCTTTGCAGCTGTAGATGGCCTGACTACATGACAAAGTTCTAGCTAATGACATATATATGTATGCAGAATAATCCCAAATTTACATCTACGGCCTGGACTTCTAGTCTATATCAGAACTTAAGTATCCAACTGCCTACTCAACATCCCTATTTGGGTAGCTACTAAGAATCTCAGCCTAACATATCCACTTCTGTTCTCCTGTACTTCCTGGCTATAGCTGCCTCTGTTCGTTCTTGTCATGCAAGTAAAGAGCAACTCATTGCTCCAGGTGCACAGAACTGCAAACTCAGCCACCCTTGCCCCTCTTTCTCTCACACTCTGTATCAAGAGTATCCAATCTTTTGGCTTCCCTGGGCCACATTGGAATAAGCATTGTCTCTGGTCACTCATAAACACACTAACAATGGCTGAAGAGTTTTTAAAAATCACAAAAACATCCCATAATATTTTAAGAAAGCTTATGAATTTGTGTTGGGCTGCATTCAAAGCCATCCTGGGCCACATGCAGGCTGTGGACCGGTATTTGAGACCAGACTGGGCAGCAGCTTGTTCTATATCATCAATCAATCCTTGGTCTCTGCTAGCTCTACTGCTGCCATACTGGTCCAAGTCACCAGCATTTCTAGCTTAGAAGCCTCCTAATGGGTCTCCACGTTTCCATCCTGCCACTCCCTTCCACATGGTCTCAGCACAGTACCCAGAGTGAGTCTGTTAAATGTAAATCAGATGGTGTCCCTTCTCTGCTCACAACAGTCTCATGGCTTCTCATCTCACTCAAAGTAGAAGCCAAAATCATTCAGAAGCTCAGAAGGCTCTACAGGACCTGGCCCCTCACTTTCTCCTCTCCCATGCCCCAGCTCCCTCTGCTTCAGCTACGCTAATCTCCTTGCATCAGACCTTTGCATTTGATACACTGTCCTCCTCCCAGGAAAATATTTGCCCAATTTATTTGCATGGTTTACTCTTAACACCTTCTTGTCTTTATTCCAATGTCACCTTCTCAGTAACAGCTTTTCATTCCATTAAAAAAGGAACCTCTCCCCGCTACCACCACCTGGAACAGCCTCCCTTCTTCCTGGATTTATTTTGTCTATAGCATCTATCATCATCTACTACTACATTTTTCACTATTTATGTTGTTTACCGTCTTTCTCCCCCTTCCCACTAGAGTGTCACTTTCATTTCAACGAAGATTTTTTTCTGTTCTGTTAAAAATTCTAAGTGCTGCCGGAGCACTTAGAAAAATACCTGGCCTGTAATAGCTTCTCAATAAATATTTCACCAATTAATTAATTAGTTCTTTAATGCTAGGGGATTTGAGGGGAATAATTTGGCTTCTTAAATAAGGGACAGGCATCAGAGGAGTCATTCCTGTCTTTAGAAATGCTGAGAATACATAAGCAAAAGTATAGAAGGAAGTCTTATGTCATATTGAGCCACTGAAGTTTCACCTACACTCTCTTACCTCCAGACATCCCATTGTGTAAGGAAAACAACACCTTATTCACTTAAACTAGGTGTCAGCAAACTATGCCCCACAGGCAAATTCTGGCCCGCTGTCTGTTTTTGTAAATAAAGTTTTATTGGAATACAATCAGGCCTATTCATTCATGTCAATGGTATCTCTTGGGCTGCAAGAGTTACAAGGCCCACAGAGCCTAAAAGATTTACTATCTGCCCCTTTACAGAGAAAGTTTGTTAACTCTTTATTGTGGCAAGTGTCAGCTGAATTTTCTGTTGGTATCAGTCAAATGCATGGTGTGTTGCTCAGGTGTCCTGCTGCAGGGAGCTCACCTGAATGCTGGCCCAGCCGCTAACTTCTGGATCCCCAACCTCCTTGTCAGAACCACACTTCCTCCAAACTGCTCTTTCCCAGTGGCTGAGCACAGATGCCATTCCTGTGAGATGCAGGTCTTCTTGCACTTTGGCTGGAGGACTCCCATCAACCTGGCCAAAACATTCCTGCAACTGCTCTGGAATCTGAGAGTGCCCTTAGCCAAAACTTCTTCCTTCTTTCTTCCCTTCATAGGGGTCAGACCAACATCATGGCCTAAGGGGCTCCCTACCTACTCCTCCTTCTTTCTTTAACCTTCATGAGTTCTTCCTCCAATAAATCTGTTATCTTGGCTTCTGCTTCTTAAAGAACCCCAACTAATAAACATTCTTGCTTGATAGACTGCAGTCATGGAACTGGTACAATACGATCCTTAGATTCAAACTAACACCTCATGGTGTTGGGAAAGCATGCAAAACTCATGCTTTCCCAACACTGCTCAAATAGTACCATATCCCTGGACACTTGTTTTGCCTTCCTCCTTATGTTCATTTATTCAGCAAGGAAAACACAAGAGCATTTATGCTCATGGACCACATTTTATTCACATGTATACTCCAGCACCTAACAGAGTTTGTCAAACAGCTGGCAACTTTACAAATATTGCTTGGATGAATGAATAAGTGGATGAACAAACATTTGTTGAATATCTGAAATGTGTGCATTTGGTTTAAAGCTTTTCTGTGTTCCCAATTCAACTGAAGGGACAGTATACAAATGACAATGTTCAAGAACAGCTCAGCTGTGTTGTCTAAAATGTATGAATAGGTAAGAGCTGTAGACAATAGGATCAGCAAGGAGATCACTACAATAGTACTGACCATATGTGATAAGGGTCAGAATTTGGTATCATACAGTGAAAGTTGAAATAAAAGGAAAATGAAAGCAAGGTTTTAGAAAAATGAATAATTGACAGGCGATTAATTGGTCAGAGAAGTCAAGCAAGACTAGAGAGCAAGATGCCTCAAGGATTCTGAGCCTAGCTGCCTGGAAGAAAGATAGCACCATTTGCCAAAATGAAGATTTTAAGGAGCTACTATATGGGGCAGGAGTTTGTGAATTCTGGCAGGAAGCAGAGGATCATTTGAATAAAGTATTTAAAAGATGATTGAAGAAGTGAGATTAGCTCTTGGGAAGGGCTGTCAGGACTAGAGACAGTCTTGAAAGTCATGCCACTAAGAGAGGACAGTAGAAATTATGAGAATGAATGAGTTCTTGGGTGAAGAGTATGTAAAAAGACAAAAGTAAAATCTAGGGTGATCCCTGGGCCAGAGGTGGTGGCTCACAGCTGTTATCCGAGCATTTTGGGAAGCCAAGGCAGGACGATCGCTTAAGGCCAAGATTTTGAGACTAGACTGGGCAATAGAGTGAGATCTCATCTCTACAAATTAAAAGAAAACTTAGCTAGCATGTGGCATGTGCCTATAGTCCCAGTTACTCCAGAGGCTGAGGCAAGAGGATCGCTTGAGCCCAGGAGTCCAAGGCTGCAATGAGCTCTGATTGTGCCACTGCATTACAGCCTGGATGACAGAGTGAGAGCTCATCTCTATTAAAAGAGACAAAAGAGTGATCTTTGCATTTAGGAGGTGGGAAGAGAAGAAAATGCCAATAAAGAAAATGTAAAGTAGTCAAGGGAAGGATGAGAACCAGAATTGTGACATGATCCAGAGACTAAGAGAAAAGAGAATTTTAAGAAAAGAGCAGTCACTGATAGGAAAGGATGTGGAGAACTCAGAGAGCTTGGACAAGTTGGTTTAGATATTTGGGATCAAATGAAAGGGATTAAATGAATGAAAGCTTGAAGGGTCACCACGATCACCCATCAGCTTATCAATTTGGTATGTGTTTCTGTTTGTTTTCTTTTTCTTCAAAGAAAAGTAGATTGTTCAGGTCTTCAGCAGAGATTAAAGCCTCAACGGAGGTAAAAAAATTGAAGAGGATAAAGAAAGGAGATGAATGAGATAACAAGTTCCTGGAGGAGGCAGGATGGCAAGAGGATAGAGAATAAAAATGAGAAGTCTAGCTTTGGAAAGGAAAGTGAAACAACTGTTCCTCTAAGTCAGAAAGGAAGGATGAGGGCACATAGAGAAATATTCTCCATGGTATCGCTTCTCTACAACAGACCAGAGCTGTATTTGGAGTATTATTCAGCACCAGGGCTCTACTGTAACTTAATTCCCATGTTGGCCAACCCTGAAATAAGGTTAGGTCTAGTCTAAACGAATCTCTTATCTATGTACTATTATCCAACCATATTGACACGGAACCTTATAGATGTACTTTCCTTTTTTTATGTGAATATACTGTGTCCTTTTTTTAAAAACAGAATGATCATCCAGCTAAAACTTATATGACTCTCCAGACCCAAAGTGATATTTTTTAAAAAGTCATCACATATGAATGCAGAAATGTCCCTGATTATCTCAAAAAAAAAAAAAGAAAATGATAAAAAGCAGTAAGCAAATGAGCTATGTTCAGTGCATTTGGTTGAGAGATTTCTGAGAAGGTTGTTTACATTTGCTTCTAAATGGTGATCTCACTAATAAATTTCCTGTGGACAGAAAAGAGGCCATTAAAACAGACATTTATTCAATGTCTTACAAGTTGCACATAGGTTTCAAGTTATCATTACAGAGAGGCCTAAGGGCAAGTCAATTGGGCAGTGCGTATATTGCCTAGCGGTCTTAAAGTCTTAAGCCAGCTTGCAAAGATCTGATGAAGCCTTTTCTCAAATGGATGTTTTAAGATACATCAGTTTCTTCACTAGTCTTTTTCTGACTAATTTTTTGCTCATTTTTCTGGAATCTTGAATTATTATAAATTTTAATGTGGAAGTGCGCCAGAGCGATGCCATGAAGTCTGTTGAGTCAGAAGTATTAACCCAAGTGACAGATTTTCTCAACGGGGAGACAGGGACAGACTGGGGAAGAAGGGAATGGGGAATAGGGCCCGGGAGGGTCATCAACATTGTTTATTCATATCAAGAAAAAACTGGCCAGGTGCGGTGGCTCATGTCCATAATCCCAACAATTTGGGAGGCCAAGGTGGGAGGATCACTTGAGCCCAGGAGTTTGAGACCAGCCTGGGCAATATAGTGAGATCCCGTCTCTACAAATTCTTTTTTTAAGCCAGGTGCAGTGGCTCACACTTGTAATCCCAGCAATTTGGGGGGCCAAGGCAGGCAGATCACTTGCGGACAGGAGTTTGCGACCAGCCTGGCCAACATAGTGAAACCCCATCTCTACTAAAAATAGAAAAAATTAGTTGGTCGTGGTGGTACATGCCTGTAATCCCAGCTACTCAGGAGGCTGAGGCATGAGAACCACTTGAACCGGGAGTTGGAGGTTGCAGTGAGCTGAGATTGTACCACTGCACTTCAGCCTGGGTGACAAAGTGAGACTCTGTCTTAAAAAACAAACAAACAAACAAAAAAAGCCAGATGTGGTGGTGCATCACATGCCTGGGGTCCCAGCCTGGGCAATAGAGGGAGACTTTGTCTCAAGCAAAACAAAACAAAACAGAAAGAGTAAATTTCACCCTCCTGGTTTCTTTCTAATGTTTCCAGTCAGTGGGCTTGCTTTAACAAGTTCAAAGTTAGCTTAAAGCAATAGCTGCAATTTTTATTTCAAAATCTCTTAGCAATAATAATGCCTCCGTTTGAGGGAGATGAAGTGAAACAAACTAGAGGTTAAGAATCAGAACATCTGAATTTGATTCTAGGCTTGGATCACTTCCTCTTTTGTAACGTCAGGCCAGTGGTTCTTCCAGGCATGGGTAGACTGGACATCCTCCCTAGACGGTGAGATGAGCACCCAGCGGCATCGCCGTCGGCAAATCACTTAACCATTGTGACGTTCCATTTCCTTAACTCTATATAGAGGGAATGGAGCTCACTAGGGGTTTGGATTTCTCACTGCATATTAAAAACACCTGTGGCATCTTTTCTAAATACTGATACAGGGCCCCATCCCAGACCAGCTGAATCTGATCTCTGAGGATGGGGGATCACGCAATGGTATTTCTTTTGAGATGCTCCATCCAAGTGGTTCTAAGGTATAGCCAGAGTTTATTGTTCTTCAGGTTGAAGGTTGCTTTATACCAACCCTTCAGCATTCTAAGACTCGCTGACTCACCCCAAGGCTCACATGCCCAGGAGGAGACAAGAATTCATTCAGATGGCTTCATGCTCACTTCATGCCCACAAAATAAAAATAAAAATAAATAAGAAGGCATGGCCAAAGCAAAGTGTGTGCTTTTTTCCCTTCTTACCATTTTTTTTCAACCTAAAAAAGTTTTTGTTGAGGTATAACATTGGTACAGTTTGATGAATTTGTTTGATTGCTTGTTTTTGAGATGAGGTCTTACTATGTTGCCCAGGCCGGTCTTGAACGCTTGGGCTGAAGTGATCCTCAAGGGATCCTTGAGCCCAAGAGTTCAAGACCGGCCTGGGCAACCTAGCTGGAACTACAGGTTTATGCCATCGCACCTGGCTTGACTTTTTGCATATATACACACCCATGTAGCCACAACCCAGATCAAAATGTAGAGTATTTTCAGCCCCCACACCCCTCAGACGCTGGTCCTACTATTTTGAGAGGCTATAGGAGGACAACAGAATCTGGCAGATGCCTGTGTCCAGTGCCTGACATGTGATTTTCTAATTGTACTGTTGCATCCCACAGCTGTTCAAAATAAATACTTGGATGCAATTTTCTCATTTCTCTTGCCATTAGGTATGATGCAGAATTTGTTTTGGCTCCTGCTTGTGAAGTTATCGCACATGCTCTTTTTGTTCCTTTGGAAATCACATGCCTAATATTCCCTTTGTGTCTCAGAGATATTAATTGGATGAGCCCACTCCCCACTAGCTCTTGAGGGCAAGAACTAGTCCTATCTTTCTCACTCCTGCTGTATCTGCAGCCCCTATATGCTCATGAGCATTTGTTGCACGAAGGCTGAATAGAAGCATGGTATATGGGTAGTATAAAAAACAGTAGATGACATATTCTGTGACTTTAAGAAGTTTTTAATCATGTATATGGTGGAGGTATATTCCAAAGTTTGGTTGAGGTACATTCCAAATGCACTGGAAGCATGCTGTGAATAATTATAAAACAAAACATCGTTGGGTTCAAAATTACTTAATTTTGACTCAAATTTCAATAGACTAAAAACTTACAGGGGACAAGGAAAGCAAAATGAAGAAGTAATCAGAATGGTAGCCTAATTAAAGGAGAGTGGTTTCGTGGATGATGAGCTCAGGTCTTGAGAGATGCAGAGAGAAAAGACAAGCGAACACCCAGACTGGTGCAAAGATTCATGCAAAAATGTAAGGGCAAACATCTTGCAACACTTATGAAGTGAGGTGAAAGCACACTGAGTTGGATACAGAAAGGAGAAAATAACAGGGGAAAGAGAGAAGTTAAAAAGAAAACCAGTTGTTGGAGACCTTAAGTAATAGGCTCTAGTTTTTGGTAATGAATCGCTGGATGTGCTACAAACAGCATATGCAGGAGCTTGTTCTGGCAGCTGTGCAGAAAGCAGAGAGGAAAGCTGGATGTACAGAAATGATTAGGAGGCTGCTTTCCCAATCCAGACATGTACCAAATTGTGGGTGGTAGTAAGCAGGTACAATTAGTAATGGTAGTAATGAACATGAGAAAGAGAAGATAAAGGAGGTCAAGGTGTTCAACGTCATATTAAATATGCTGGTATTAGTCATAGAAATGGGAAATTTGGGACTGAGTGACCACCTAAGGGAGAAACTGACAGTCATACTCAGCTATTCTGTTAGCTGAGGGCATGTGAAATGCCTGGTGTTTGAGCAACACCAAAGGTAACATTCAGAATGACTGGACTGCCGTGAAACAAAAAGGCAGATAATCCCGCTCATTCCATTGCCAGGTCTGGGATATTTTGAGTCAAAAAGGCTAAAGTTGAGACTACTTAAACCCCACTTATTATCTTCTAGACATGTTTAATGTATTCATACACATGCCCTCCAGGAGACTTATGAAAGAGACAATTAGGATGCATATAGAGAAACGGGTGGGGCCACCACTTTCTGGCCAGGTAGATTGAGCCTTTGCAGCTTTAAGGTTTGGCTGGCATCTTGTCTGCAAACATTTGACTGTACCTGATTTGGTGCCATTAAAGGAAGACAACAGAGCTTCTTACAACTGCACATCAAACTTTAATAGCACTACAAGTTAGACAGTGGATGATTGTGTCCATTTAAAAGGTGCCAAATGGTTGATAACTGTGTTTATGTCTTGTTTCTAGATATGCAAGCAAAGATAAACACAATTGAAATGCATTCGTTGGGTTGGGAGCTGATCACCGGCTAGAATTTATAAAACCTTTGCATGCCCTAAACAGCATTTATTTCATAATTGTCCAAGTGCATAGCTGGTGGTCCTTTTTCCCTAAATTATCAAATACCAAACATTACTGGAGGCAGAAAAGCAGAATGCAAGGGGCAATCACAAGAATGGTAAACCCATTCTCAGACAGAGAGTGAGAGAGTAAGCTCTGCCTCTTGGGTATTCAAGCAGTGAACCATGCATGTGAAAAGAATTTAGCCCAGACAGGCCTCACCAGGCTCTCCAGGGAACATAGCGTTCTCACAGCAGCAAAGAAGGAAACACAAGAGTGACGTGGCCTTTTCTGCCAGGAGCATCTACAGTAAATTGTTCAGGTAATTTATGTCACTAAAGTATACAGTTTGTCATCTTCCAGACAGTAAAACAACACAAACACACACACACACGCATATTCTTTTAAAAAGAAAGGAAAATATAAAGGAGTCAAAATAGAGCAAATAATAATGCTCTTTGCAATATGAGTCTAAATGCATAATGTTGCCTCTATGATTTTTTAAAAATGAAATGAAATATTCCCAGTATAATATGTTTGTGCCCATTCTGCAGATATTAAAAAAGAAAAATATTTTCTTGTCACTAAAATATTTTAGTGCATTTTTAATTTGGGTATGTAATTTCATTTTGGAGGGCAACACCATAATAAATGGAGCACATAAATATAATATAATAAAATTCAGAGTTGTTGCTTTTTCATGATTACATGATAGCCAGGTACCCACTTTTGTGTAGAAAGCTACTTTGATCAATTGCACTGATTAAATGGTTGTTACACAAGTTCACAATAGGTTACAAATCTTGATGCACATAGAGACTTAGAGAAATATTAATCGTTTCAGACATACCTTGCTTCTGTAAGTCAATCTTAGATCCCAGTTGGTGAAAAAAGAAAGAAACAAGGAAAAACTGTTACAGTTCAAACAATATTGTGGGAATTGGCAAAAATGCAGCAAATGCCAAAGGAAATCCTGTGAAGGCTCTTGAGCCAAAGGCTGCATAACTGAAGTTGGAACTGGCCCCAAGAAATGTTGCACAACCACATTAAAAAGTGGACAAAGGGACAGGCACGATGGCTCACACCTGTAATCCCAGCACTTTGAGAGGCCGAGGCAGGTAGATCACATGAGGCCAGGAGTTTGAGACCAGCCTGGGCAACATGGTAAAACCCTGTGTCTGCTAAAAATACAAAAAAATTAGCCAGGCATGTGGCACACCTGTAATCCCAGCTACTCAGGAGGATGAGGCAGGAGAATCGCTTCAACCCGGGAAGCAGAGGTTACAGTGAGCCGAGATCGCATCACTGCACTCCAACCTGGGTGTCAGAGCAAGACCAAAAACAAAAAACAAAAACAAAAAACCAAACATAAAAGTGGACAAAGAATGCGAACAGACACTTTTCAAAAGAAGACGTACATGCAGCCAATAAGCATATGGAAAAATGTTAATTATCACTAATAATTAGAAAAATCCAAATCAAAAACCACAATGAAATACCATCTAACACCAATCAGAATGGCTATTACTAAAAAGTCAAAAAATAACAGATGCCGGCAACGTTGCAGAGAAAAGGGAACTCTTATACACTGCTGGTGGTAGTTTAAATTAGTCCAATGTTGTGGGAAACATTGTGGCAATTCCTCAAAAAACAAAAAACAAAACTACCATTCAACCCAGAAATCCCATTACTGGGTATATACCCAAAGGAATATAAGTCATTCTACCATAAAGACACATGCATGCATATGTTCATCGCAGTACTATTTACAATAGCAAAGACATGGAATCAACCTAAATGCCCATCAATGGTAGGCTGGATAACAAAAATGTGGTACATATACACCATGGAATACTATGCAGCCACAAAAAGAGTGAAATCATGTCCTTTGCAGGAACATGGATGAAGCTGGAGGCCATTATCCTTAGCAATCTAACACAGGAACTGAAAACCCAATACCGAATATTCTCACTTACATGTGGGAGATAAATAATGAGAACATATGGTGCTATGGTTTGGATCTGTGTCCCCACCCAAATCTAATGATGAATTTTAATCCCCAGTATTGGAGGAGGGGCCTGATGAGAGGTGATTGAATTGTGGGGGTGATTTCCCCTTTGCTGTTCTCATGATAGTGAGTGAGTTCTCACAAGATCTGGTCATTTAAAAGTGTGTAGCACTTCCTCCTTCACTCTCTTCCTCCTGCTCCAGCCATGTAGGACATTGTGGCTTCCCTTTCACCCTTCACCGTCCACCATGATTGTAAGTTTCCTGAGGCCTCTGTAGCCATGCCTCCTGTACAGTCTGCAGAAATATGAGCCAATTAAACCTTTTCTCTTTATAAATTACCCAGTCTCACGTAGTTCTTTATAGTAATGAGAGAATGGACTAATACAGAAAAATGGTACTGGGAGTGTGATATTGCCATAAAGATATCTGAAAATGTAGAAGCAGCTTTGAAACTGGGTAGTGAGCAGAGGTTAGAACAGTTTGAAGGGCTCAGAAAAAGACAAGAAGATGAGGGAAAGTTTGGAAGTCCTAGAGACTTGTTAAATTATTGTGACCAAAATGCTGATAGTGATATGAACAGTGAAGGCTAGGCTGAGGTGGTCTCAGATGGAGATGAGGATCTTATTGAGAACTGGAGTAAAGGTCACTCTTGCTATGCTTTAGCAGAGACTAGAGACATTGTGCCCCTGTCCTAGAGATCTGTGGAACTTTGAACTTGAGAATGATTATTTAGGGTTTCTGGTAGAAGAAATTTCTAAGTAGCAAAGCATTCAAGATGTGGCCTTCAAGATGTGGCCTGGCTGCTTCTAACAGCATATGCTTATATTTGTGAGCAAACAAGAGATGATCTGAAACTGGAACTTACATTTAAAAGGGAAGCAGAGCATAAAAGTTTGGTAAATTTGCAGCCCAGCCATGTTGTAGAAAAGAAAAACCTATTTTCTGGGGAGGAATTCAAGCCAGCTGCAGAAATTTGCATAGCTAAAGAGAAGCCAAATGTTAATAGTCAAGACAATGGGGGAAATGCCTTGAAGGCATTTCAGAAACCTTCACAGCAGACCCTCCCATCACAGGTCTGGAGGCCTAGCAGGGAAGAATAGTTTTGCAGGCTGGGCCCAGGGCCCTAATGCCCTGCATTACCTCAGAACACTGCTCCCTGTGTCCCAGACACTCCAGCTCCAGCCATGGCTAAAAGGGCCCCAGATATGTCTCAGGCTGCTGCTCCAGAAGATGTAAGCCATAAGCCTCGGCAGCTTCCACATGGTATTAAGCCTGCATGTGCACAGAGGACAAGTGTTGAGGCTTCGTAGCCTCTGCCTAGATTTCAAAGGATGTATGGAAATGCCTGGATGTCCAGGCAGACGTCTGCTGCAGGGGCAGAGCCCTCATGGAGAACCTCTACTAGGGCAGTGTGGAGGGGAAATGTGGGGTTGGAGCTCCCACACAGAGTGCTCACTGGGGCCCTGCCTAGTGGAGCTGTGAGAAGAGAGTCACCAACCTCCAGACCCTGGAATGGTAGATCCATCAACAGCTTGCACCATGTACCTGGAAAAGCCACAGGCACACAACACCAGCCCATGAAAGCAGCCAAGGGGGCTGTACCCTAAAGAGCCACAGGGGCAGAGATGCCTAAGGCCTTGGGAGCCCACTCCTTGCATCAGAGTTGCCTGGATGTGAGACATGGAGTAAAAGGAGATTATTTTGGGGCTTTAAGATTTAATGACTGTCCTGCTGAATTTCAGACCTGCATAGGGCCTGCAGCCCCTTTGTTTTGCCTGATTTCTCCCTATTGGAATTGGTATATTTACCCAATGCCTGTACCATCATTGTATCTTAGAAGTAACTAATCTTCTTTTGATTTTACAGGCTCATAGTCTGAAGGAACTTGCCTCATTTCAGGTGAGACTTTGGACTATGGACTTTTGAGTTAATGCTAGAATGAGTTAAGACTTGGGGGACTGTTGAGAAGGAATAATTGTATTTTGCAATGTGAGAACAGGAGATTTGGGAGGGGCAGAGGCAGAATGATATGGTTTGGATTTTTGTCTCCGCCCAAATCTCATGTCAAAGTGTACTCCCCATTGTTGGAGGAGGGGCCTGGTGAGAGGTAACTGAATCATGGGGGTGGATTTCCTCCTTGCAGTTTTCATATAGTGAGTGAGTTCTCACAAGATCTGGTTGTTTAAAAGTGTATAGGACCTCCCTCTTCATTCTCTTCCTCCTGCTCCAACCATGTAAGATGCACCTGCTTCCCCTTCACCTTCCACCATGATTGTAAGTTTCCTGAGACTCCGCAGCCATGCTTCCTGTTCAGCCTGCAGAACCGTGAGCCAATTAAACCTCTTTTCTTTATAAATTACCCAGTCTCAGGTACTTTTTTTTATAGCAGTGTAAGAATGAACTAATACACATGGACAGAACGAGGTGAACAACAGACACTGGGGCCTGCTTGTGGGAGGAGGGTGAGGAGAAGGAGAGGTTCAGGGAAAAAAATAAACTGCTAGGTACTATGCTTAGTACCCAGGTGATCAAATAATCTGTATACCAGATCTCCAAGTTACAAGTTGACCCATATAACAAACCTGCACATATACCCCTGAACCTAAAATAAAAGTTAAAATATTAATTTTTAAAATAGAAATGTTGTGAATGAGGCAAAGCATGTCTAGATGCCTCCCTTCTTTCAGCAAGCATCATTTCCAGGATCTCCATGCATCTTCAGATTGTCTCTGTCTTAGCCATGTGCATCCTATCAAATTCTGGTGATTATAGCATGAAATTGGGGCACCCCTCCCCAATGTTGTAAGAGGGGCCAGCTATAGTCCTTCTGCTGGGGAGTAAGAAACATGATCTTGATCCATGTGGGTGACTTACTTATGATTTCTGGAAACATTGGTTTCCATGGCATGAAAATAAATTTGAGGTTCATTTTCAGAGTGACTACTTTCAGTGTTCTTATATGGTATATATATGTGGTAATGACCAGAAAAGATAAAAGTGTAATTACACATGACTTCATAACTATCAGATACAAGTATAGCTTTCTCAAAACAAAATACAGAAATGGCATTTTAGGAGGTGATGTGGGAAAGCAGAGAGCTGACATAAGGAAGAGCAATGGCCATGGGTGGATTGGGAGTATGGAGAGTGAGAACTAAATTTCAAAGGTCTTTTTAAAAAGAATGAAGGGCAAGGAAATGTGATCAGTAGACTGTTCAGAGGATCATTAGTGGAGGAGAATGAAAAGACAAATCACTAGGCCCTCTTGCCCATCAGGATCATATATAGTCTCTGCAACAACAAAGGATCGCTGAGAAAGAACAAAACATGCCCCTGTGTCCATTCATGTAAACACTTTCTCTATTACTCTTGGTTTTCAGGGATCTGTCTTTGTTTCTTGCTTCTGTGGAAAGAGTATTTAAGTTAAGGTAGGGAGGAATGTACCCTCTAAGCTTCAAGCTACAATAGCAGTATTTTCTCACTTTGGTATTTTTTACTTCCCTTGCATTGTCTTGGCATTTATTAGAGGGTAGGTAGACTGTGTAGGAGTGCATCCTTTCTTAAGGCTGAGAATCCCTCAGCAAACAGAGGTTGGGGAGTGGACGTAGGCTAAGGGCAAATCTATTGTTTGTTGGGATCTTAGTGTACACTAAGTAAAAGCTTACTAAGATTACTATTACAACTGAAAATAAAACACTCATAAAAGTAAAAATAAGTGACCAAACCCACTTTACAGTCACTGCTGTATGAGCCTTTCAGTGAGAATAACACTGGGCAGGTTTCAATGCTTGCCCATAAAGTTAAGGTGGGGAGGAATTTTCTAGCTTACACTTCATCAGAAGGGCCCGGTAGTGTATTATAAGTAATTCAGAGATATGCAAAGACCCATGCAGAATGCAGAGTAGCTCCTGACCTCATTATATGTCTAGATGTTCGTGAGTTCTAATTCCGCCTCTTACTGCTACAGACACTACTGTTCCAACTCCCCCATCCCAGCCTACACTCAAAGCCAGCCTCGTCCACAGCCACATAGTCTTTCGTTGACTCATTTAACAAATATTTATTATGCCTCTGGTATGAGCAAGGCACTCTGATATGCTTTGAGGGTATAAAGATGAAAAGACTCTGAATCAAGTGTGGGAGGGACATGTAAACCAACAATTAGAGTGCAGCATGATAACAGGCTATGAGGGGGGGATGCCCAAGGAGACCACACAGGTGGGGGTACCCAACTCAGCCTGAGGTGGCAGGGGAGCTGGGGAATTGCATTCCAGGCAGAGAGAGAGCACTAGAGGCAAAAACAAGCAGGGCTGGGTGTGGTGGCTCATGCCCATCTCATCCCCAGCTTGTTGGGGAGCTGGGGCAGGCTGATTGCCAGAGCCCGGGAGTTCTAGACCAGCCTGGGCAACATAGTGAGACCTCATCTCTACCAAAAAAAAAAAAAAAAAAAAATTAGCTGAGCTTGGTGTCTCATGTCTGTAGTCCGAACTACTCAGGAGGCTAAGGCAGGAGGATCACTTGATCCCATGGAGGCAAAGTTTGCAGTGAGCTTAGATTGCACCACTGCACTCCAGGCTGGGTAACAAAGTGAAACCCTATAAAAAAAAAAAAGAAAAGAAAACAAAGAGAGAAAGAAAGAGAGAAAGAAAGAAAGAAAGAAAGAAAGAAAGAAAGAAAGAAAGAGGAAAGGAAGGAAGGAAGGAAGGAAGAAAGAAAGAAGGAAAGAAAGAAAGAAAGAAAGAAAGAAAGGAAGGAAGGAAGGAAGGAAGGAAGGAAGGAAGGAAGGAAGGAAGGAAGGAAGGAAGGAAAGGAAAGGAAAGAAAGAAAGAAAGAAAGAAAGAAAGAAAGAAAGAAAGAAAGAAAGAAAAAGAAAGAAAGAAAGAAAAGAAAGAAAACACAAGCAGATAGGAGTGAACATCGTTTCTTGAGATCAAGCACAGTTACATGCAGAACAGCAACAGGAGAAAATGTCATCTAGCTGAGAGGGTCTTAAAGACCCTGTGCCTCTGAATATTTCCTCATTGACTGGATGCTTAAAACAGTCCCATCTCTGATGTCCTTGAGTTAAGGAACAGTCTCTCTCTCTCTCTCTCTCTCTTTTTTTTTTTTTTGAGTTGGAGTCTCACTCTGTTGCCCAGACTGGAATACAATGATCTTGGCTCACTGCAACCTCCGCCTCCCGGGTTCAAGCAATTCTCCTGCCTCAGCCTCCAGAGTAGCTGGGATTACAGGCATGCACCATCACACCTGGCTAATTGTTGTATTTTTAGTAAAGACAGGGTTTTACCATGTTGGCCAGGCTGGTCTTGATCTCCTGACCTCCAATGATCCTCCTGCCTTGGCCTCCCAAAGTGCTAGGATTACAGGCATGGGCCACTGCGCCTGGCCCAGGAACAGTCTCTTTTAATACTAAAATCTTTATTTGAAGAGATGAAATATATGAGCCTTATTAGCCACCAGTATTTTAGCTTAAATTAGCAAACCCACAAAGAATAAAATATTAGACAAGAAAGTGTTGGGGGAGAGAAAAAGAAAGTTAAGAATAGCCCAGGCAGGCCGGGCGCAGTGGCTCACACCTGTAATCCCAGCACTTCCGGAGGCCGAGGCGGGCAGATCACGAGGTCAGGAGATCAAGACCATCCTGGCTAACACGGTGAAACCCCGTCTCTACTAAAAAATACAAAAAAAATTAGCCGGGCGTGCTGGCGGGCGCCTGTAGTCCCAGCTACTCGGGAGACTGAGGCAAGAGAATGGCCGGAACCCGGGAGTCGGAGCTTGCAGTGAGCCGAGACGGCACCACTGCACTCCAGCCTGGGCGACAGAGCAAGACTCCGTCTCAAAAAAAAAAAAAAAAAAAAAAAAAGAATAGCCCAGGTATAAAAGGTTTACAGTGGGCCAGTTCATTAGGATAGCCAAAAGTGGGGAAGGTGATCCTGGATCCTTGAAGAAATCCACACCAACAGAGAAAAGGAGAGTACAGTAAGTCCCTCCTTAATGATGGGTTCTCGGGAACTGTGACTAAGTGAAATGACATAGAAGGTACAATGAAACCAATTTGAACTTAGGCTAATTGATATAAAACAGAGTTATGTTTAGAGCAAAACACTTTTTATATTAAACATAGAAATAAGTGTGGGCTACACATACATTTAAGAAAGAGTGATAAAATTAAGTAAGATAATTATTTACTTGCTTCTTCCAGTTCAGGGTTGCAGGTGGCTGGGCCCTGTCCCAGCAGCTCATGGCAAAAGGCAGGAACCAGACCTGGATAAGGTGCCATCCCATCACAGGGCACACTCACACCTCACACACACGCCCACACTCCCTCACACCGGGGCAGTGTGGACATGCCAATTTACCTAACAGGCACAGATTTGGGAAGTGGGAGGAAACTGGATCACCTGGAGAAAACCCACACAGATGTGGGGAGAGCTTGCAAACTCCACACAGATAGTGGCCTTGGCCAGGAATCCATTTTTTTTTTCCTCATCAACATTGTAACATTATTTGAAGACCTGCTGTATAATAAGAGAAAGCAAATGGCACTTTAACAACAAACTATGCGGTGATTGTCAGCTGTTTAGGGAGAGGTCATGGCACCAGAATGCCCTCGCCATACCCACTGACCTGTTGAAGGGAAAGCACTCTTCTCAAAGAAAGGTCTCATCCATGTTGTTCTAGAAGGTCTCACCCATTTTATAATGCTTGAACACAGGCTCAGAGTCATCGTCCATTCCTTCCTCCATCCCTCTCCCAGGCAAGTGGTCTGAAAGCAGTGCTTCTGAAGTTTAAGGAGCATATGGATCCCTTGGCGATCTTTTCCAAGCAGATTTTTATTCAGTAGATCTGGGTTGGGGCCTGAGAATTCGCATTTCTCACAATCTCCCGAGAGATGCTGAGGCTGTTGGCCCAGAGACCATGCTTAGAGTCACTAGGGTCTAGAAGGCCGTCTTCCCTGGCATGTCTCACAGCGGTCTTCTTGTCTCCATCCCTCTGCTACTGCCTAGTTCAGGTCCTCTATGACTCTCCTCTGGAGAATTGTTTCTAGGCTCAATCTATTTTCTATGCAGTCTCTGGGCAATATTTCAAAAAGTGAATATGACGTGTTACACCCTGCTTAAATCCCTTCCAAAGATCCCACTTGCCAAGGAAGTTATTTTGAAACAAAATGTTTTCTTAAGCTGAACTTGAAAATAATAATAATAATGATGATGATAACAATAATAATAATAGAGAGGGGGGTTTCCCAATGTTGTCCAGGCTCGTCTCAAACTCCTGGGCTAAAGCAATCCCACCACCTCAGCCTCCCAAAGTGCTGGGATTACAGGCATGAGACATCATGCCTGGCCAAATTGAACTCTTAATACAGAAGCTTTCCTGGAATCCAATGTTGAAAATGCATACAAGCAGCCCTGTTCTGGCCGAAGCTGAGGGGAAATGCCTGGGTTCTTTATTAAGTCTTACTTGCTCAGCATGCTCTGTTTCCTGGTACTAGCTTTGAGATACCTCCATATAATCCTAGATTCTGGTGACCCCTAGGACCTACTGTCCACTCCAGAAGCCATTTCAGGCTGAAGCCATCATATACCTTGAGAGAGGTTACTCTCATTTTCCTCCTCGGTAAGATGAATATAAAACTGCCTCCTTGTAGAGTTGATTTTGAAGGTTAAATTGGATCATGTGCTCAGCATAATACCTGGGACATAACAGGTGCTCAATCGTTGTTTGTTTCACTTCCCTCATAACATTGACTTAAAACTGCTTTCCAGCTGGGAGTGCTGACTCACTCATGCGATCCCAGCACTTTGGGAAGCTGAGGCAGAAGGATTGCTTGAGTCCAGGAGTTGGAGATCGGCCTGGGCAACATAGTGGAATCCAGTCTCTATATAATAAATTTAAAAAGTAGCTGGGCATGGTCCCAGCTACTCTGGAGGCTGAGGCAGGAGGATCATTTGGGCCTGGGAGGTGAAAGCTGCAGGAGCCGTGATGGCACCACTGGACTCCAGTCTGGGTAATAGAGTGAGACCCTGTCTCAAACAACAACAAAAAACATTTTTCCCTTGATGAATATAATCATCATGCCCACGTTATTGGAAGGGATAACATACTGGCCTTATTAGTGCGAGTGGATTTAGCTTAGGCTTTTTTCTTGTGGGCAGGCTTTGCTCTGGTTGGAGGTGAGGGATTACTGGAAGAGATGAAGAAGCAACCCTGAGCAACAGAGAGAGGGGATGGAGAGGTGGCCAGGAGGGTAGACGGATGGACAAGACATGGCGCCGAGGCTATTGAAAGGTGCACCAGTTTCACAATAATGCTTACCACCAGCCTGGTGCCTTTCATATTAATTAACATGCGATGCATAGAAATTTTGAACAAGTTGAAAATTCCTAGACAGTGATCTTTGCTGTATACCCCAAATGGCATGTGCACTCAAGGGCATCAAGCTTCCTAGGAAAGAGTTCAATCCTGCTTGCCTCACTCAAGCTGTTTCTGATGGCAACAGTTAAGGATGAAGCATGTCCCTTAGACCTCTAGAGAGGTGCCATGGGCCTGGGTACTGTCCCCTCTGCTGGAATATTCGCTGCTCAAGGGCAAACAGCAGGCAGCTGTCTTACTTTAGGTCCTCTTGTCCACATCTCTCCCTACCTTCTATCCCCAACCTCCTGCCTACCTCCCAGAATCCATGTGAAGTGCATCCCAAAAGGACTCTCAATACCCCGTCTCAGCTAACTGACTTGGGACCCCTTTCTAGAATTGTTCTTCCCTAATTCTCCACAACAAGCAGGTTGCACAACAGGTGGCAAGGTGCCCCCGGGCAGTCCAGAGACCTGGTCCAAAATATACACGAATGGGCTGTTTATTTGCTCTAAACAGGACAGCCTGTGTGAAACCTGAACCTTGTCTCCTAAAGGATTTTGGCTACTTGAGGTTCCTGGTGTTAGATCAGGAGCCAGACTGAGGGCAGGGTGCCCTCCCTGCCCTCCATTGCAAAGGTCTTTCCTCCTCAGGAAATCGCGTCAGTACCAGTCTGGGGCCACTGTGCAGGTCTTGCATTCCTGGGAGCCTACAGAACAGCCTCAGAAGGTCCTATCAAGCTGCGGTATCTCAAAGCCTCCTGCAATGCTATTAACATAAAACCATAATCTACCCTGCAGAGTTAATAATTAGTTACAATCGGTTATAAGCCAAACACATCCCCAGTTCCAGTTGACAACAGGGAGGCTGTGGAAATGCCAGCTGGCTGGGAGGTTAGCAAAGCAGGTGAATGGCAAATAGGGCAAAGTAAAGCATCCACCTCAATTTGCAGACTGCTGAGGTTGTGCATGCCAGGAGCGTTGCATTCATATCACAGACATTCCTGCAGTCTTGCTCTCTGCCCCTGGAAATGTGTTAGCCCTACAAATTTGCACACCAGCAAGAACTGTGACTAACCATATATTTTTTACACAACGGGACTCATTGCAACAATCTGCACAGGAATTCCCATGAGAAATAGCTGGCTGTCTCACTTCCCTGTTTGCTAATGCATACAGGATTCATTCGTCATATACCCTTGATTTAAGAATATATATACCTTGATTTAAGAATCGTTACTGGACAGCTAACTGATTCATTCCTAATGCAGTCCCGAAGGGCAGGGAAGAAATGGATGTCTTCTTTCAGGTCTCGGGAGAGACCTGTAAGTCCCAACCTCACTGAGTGTCACTCACCCTTAGTGTCCAAAAGGTTTAAAAAGGAGCCGTCTCTAAACACTTTGTTATCCATGGAGGGAAGTTGATATTGCAGAAATGGAAAGGTTTAGAATTGCCTTTGGTTATCCTAAGTAGCTAGCTGGAAAGACCATTTTGGCTACATCACCTCATATAGTGTCATTTACAAACAAATATGTTTTGTTCATTGAAAATAACATTTCCAGACAACTGCCATGTACCCCACAATGCACGAACATGTTTTCATTGTAATCATTTTATTATTTGTTTTTCTGAGCAGTATTGCACAAGTTCCTCCCTTATTAACTAAACAGAGAACCAAATATGTGTAGCCTTTACATGATGACTATTGAAATGGTTATTTCATTGGAACAATGAAAACTTTTGGTCTACTGGGGAGAAATGTCCCCAGGGTCAAAGGGAGGTACTGAGACCTTTGTCTCTGTCCTCAGCGGCTGCAGGTGCTGTGCCTTCTGAATTCGCCGGCCTGCTCACTGGGAGTGGGTCTTTCCCTCACTTTCAACTGTCACTTCTAATCCTCCTGAATGAGCGGAAAATGGAAAATATCAGGCTTGTTCAAATTATGTTTCACATAAGTTTTACTCAGCCTTCAAGTAAAGGGTTGAATAACTGAGTACATCACAACGCTGTTTAGTGCATTAATTTAGTAATATTGACTTTATACATTTGGGAATCTTCTTATTCTCAGCTCTCTTTTGGTACAGTTGAGGTTGCCAGACAAACTACCTCAGGATGGGTGTGAGGCTACTGTGCATTGCAGCTGGTTAATAGGTGGAACCTATTATTTTACAAGGCTGCATGGAAGTCATTAGGAGTGGTGAGAAGTTTAAGAGTCCCAGGTATAATTAGGAAGATAAGGACTCAGATATTCAGCTGACACTTGAAGAACCTGAGGTCTACATGCAGAGCCTCCAGCTTCCCCATTGCTGGAGGAGGAGTGGAGAAGGAGGTGGCACCCAGGGATGTCCAGCCCCAGACTTGGGGCCATCTGCACTGTGGGGTGGGGATGGGGATGATAGAAATTGTCATGCACTTCCTTAGGTCAAAAAAAAAAAAGAGAGGAAAACAAAATACAAAGCTTGTCACTCTTATATTTAAAAAAAGGAAAAAAAAAACACACAAAAAAACCCCAGGACTTTTTATTTTAGGATAAAGTCCAAACTCCTCAACATGTAATATAATTCCTGGTCTAGCCCATTTCTAAGCCTCTCTTTTCACCACTTCCCCAAATGAAACAATGCCACTCCCTCTTCCTAGAATGCTCTCCTTCCCCATCAACTGCCTCTCCTCAGTATCTCAGGTACCCCTCCCACACTCCGCAGTGCGTGATGTGTCCCACCTCCGAGGTCACAGGCTCACTGGACCTGGGAGAGACGATTTGCATCCTGTCCCGAGATTATACATGGATTTAGCTGGCCCCTCATTTGACTGTGAGGGTCTGGGGACAGAAATGGCAGGTCGTTCATCTCAGCCATTCCAGTGCCTGCTGCAGAGACGCTTAATGTGGAATGAATGAATGAATGAATGAATGAACATTTTAATTTATGAAAGCAGACTTAGGGAAATGTCTGTGAAGACAAGCAGTCTTCACAGCTTCATCCCGGTGACAGTGGAGGGAGGGGCGGAGGGGAGAGAGGTGCTATGGGCTGCTTGTTTACAGACCACATGTTTAAGCCTCAGGCTTTTTTAGTGCCCGCTGCACTAAAACAGGGCAGATACAGCTTCTCCAGGCCAGCTTCTCCAAGTCTTTCCAGCATCTCTGCCTGTCTCGCTCTACTTGCTAAAGCTACAATTGGCTTTGCCTGCCCCGTTGGCGGGAAGGGTGGGAAAGACTTTAGTTTAGAAACAAGTTGTTAGTGACAGAGCCTTTTCTAATGCCGCTGACAGCGTCCCTCAAATGAAGCACTTCTTCTTCATGCTGAATGCGTTTGTGTTATCTGTAGGGGAATTTTGAGTTGGTGTTTTTGCCATTTTTCTTCTTAAATTTCATTCATTTAATTAAGGTATAATTTAGATACTATGAAATGCACGGATCTTAGTGTTATAATTCAACGCATTTTGACAAATGCATACACCAGTGTAAACTTACACCCCTAATATATCTGCCATCCCAGAAAGTTCCCTCGTGTCCCCTCCCTATCTCCACTGTAGGATAATTTTGTAAAAGTAAAAAAATGAAGTGTTGGCTGCGATGCCATTTGTGCACTAGTCAAAGCAGACTGGCTTTATGTGAGTGAAATCATTAGAAATCAACACAATAAATTACTTGATCCAGTACTAAGTGTTTTAACTTGACATGGATTTAGAGAAAAGAAATGCATTAAATGCATTAAAATGTCATCTGGGGTGCTGTTAGAAATTCGGATAAGTGAGCCCACCGCAGCACCATTAAGTCAGAATTTCTTGGCATGGCATCCAGGAATACATATTTTCAATAAAAGTCCCCAGGAATTCCAACGTGGAGTAGGGGCAGGAGGTGACACCAACGACGCTGTTGGTGTGGAGACCAAAATGGTCTGTTATGACTGGACAGAGATAATCATTGATCGATGGGGAAACAGAGTGCCAGAGAAGTATAGTGGCTTGTTCAAGGCCACGCAGGGAATTCATGTTGTGGCTTGCATTTCTGGGAGGGCAATAGGAAAGGCTGGGATCACAGTCATCCACAATGGCCCAGAAAACTATTTGCCCCTGAGTTGTTCGTAGAGGTGACCAGAACCCAGGGCCAGACCCAGGCCTCTACTGCCTCCCTCACCCCGTCCTGCTCAACAGTTCTGGAGGCCACATAGGGAAGGGACTCTGCGTCTGATGGAAAGCAAGAAAGGAAAGCACTGTTTATGCCCTCCAGCATTCAGCTCCACAGACCCACAGCCCTGAGGATTCACTGGTGACATTATAATCTGCCCCCATCCCAACTCTTCTCCTCTTGACAATGTACTCTAAGAGACTGAACTGCTTTGGTGCGGTGTGTGGGGGTGGGTGGCAGGCAGGCTTACCACTGACAGGGATAGGTCAGTGCAGGCAATTTATCACCCAGTGGAACTCCTCCTTCCCATCTGCCAAATACACAAATAAATCAGGCATCAGAGCGACACCACTGGCGAACGGTCCCGGTGGGACCACATCCAGCCGCCCAGCCTCCCCGGCTCCACTGCCACTCAGGCAGTGTTTTGGTGGCACCTCAAGCAGAACTGTCCTTTCTTTCCCCACCCAGACAAACCCAAACAGTTGAGAAATAATCAGAATGAACTGGTGTCCTGATGAACCTTTGATCTTCCCGAGTGTCAGTGTCCAGCCAGTGTGTGAGGCTCCCATTGAGGAGGCTGCAGAGTGAGGCGGAAAGTCAGTAGTGTTCAGAAAAGCATGGAGTCTTTTTAGCACTCTGTCCCTGTCCCCTCCACAAAAGATAGCACTGGATGACCAGAGCCCACTGGCCAGCTTAGAGGGACACCAGCGTCAGAATCCAAGGGAAGACAAGACTTCGGAGCAGGCAAGAGGACCTGCCCTCTGCCCCAGGTGAGGGCTATGACTTGAATCATAGGCATTTACCACGGCAGGGGGCCATCAGCCTCTAGCCTCTACCTGGCTGCTCTCACAGCCCCTGACAATGTCTGCCACTCCCAATATGAATTAGCGAGATGGGCTTCCATGCAGGGTCCCCAGATTTGCCCCAGTAATGCCTGAGGAGCCCGTGGGAGAGGAGGCAGATGAAGTCTCAAGAGCACTGGGGCCCCTCTCTTGATTCTGTTGGGATTCTGCTGCCCCAAGAGCCTGGCTAAGCCACTTTAATCTCTGGGCTTTGGTTTCCTTATTTGTAAAATGTAGGGGTCAAATTAAGGTGTCTTTCAGTTCACTCCCAACATTATGGGTTTCAGTCTACCCCTCCCAAACCAAGAACCTTGAATTTGTTTCGATATATTTTATTTCCTATTGGGTGCAGATCTATTGGGCACACAGCCGAGATGGGCAAAGGTCTAGCAATCATTCCGGGTAGGAAGGCAGACACCTGTGTGTAAGATTCTTAATGGTAGAGCTCTTTCCTTATTTATCTTTGCATCCTTAGGACAAAATAGGTGTTCAGTAAGTTCTTGTAACATGAATGTGCAACTCATATAAAAACCAGGGCTCCATTTGGCCTATTCCTGACTTGCTCTCTTATTCAGAGAAACACTGGGTATCCACGAACAAATATTTAAAACTCATTGCAATTATTATGGTGTCTCTTGAGAAACTTCTAGGGAGGATCTATGTACACGCCTCAGAAACCCTTCTTAAAATCCCTGCCCTCTTTTCTCCAGCTATCTTCCACCTGCTGCGGTTCAGGAACCTCTTACACTTTAAACATGCATTCTCAACTTACTTTTCCCCATTTTATGTCACAAAAGCCGGGTGTGAACCAACAAAAGACTACATTTCCCTTCCAGGCATGGGAAGTAGGAGCAAAGACAAAATTGTTCTCAGCAGACCATGGCTAAAGGGGGGAACACCACAAGAGGAAAGAGAACGAAGCCCTATTTATTAACTTTATCATGAGTAAGTGCTGTGTGCATGAAGGCATGTTGGAATGCTGTCTGCATCATCAGCTTTGCAGATCAGTTTCCCACACATCCACAGTTTTTTGTTTTTTGTGTGTATTTTTGAGATGGAGTCTCACTCTGTTGCCCAGGCTGGAGTGCAGTGGTGAGATCTAGGCTCATTGCAAGCTCTGCCTCCTGGGTTCACGCCATTCTCCTGCCTCAGCCTCCTGAACTGCTGGGACTACAGGTGCCTGCCACCTCGCCTGGCTAATTTTTTTTCTTTTTTGTATTTTTAGTAGAGATAGGGTTTCACCGTGTTAGCCAGGATGGTCTCGATCTCCTGATCTCGTGATCCACCCAACTCGGCCTCCCAAAGTGCTGGGATTACAGGCGTGAGCCACCACGCCCAGCCAAACATCCACAGTTTTGAAGGAGTCACCTAGGTGATCTGATTTCAGGAGTCAGATAGTGTCCACTGCCTCCCGTTATTGTAAATACGGTCAGATGCCACGTGATATTTCAGTCAATGCTGACCGCATACACGAGAGTCCTGTGAGATCCTCATACTGTATTTTTACCGTACCTTTTCTCTGTCTAGATACACAAATCCTTAACACGGTGTTCTAATTGCCTACAGTATTGCCTATATACCGTAGTAATGTAAGTGTAAATAGCAGGTACATTCTGTGTTGATTGCATGACAATGAAATCACCGCTGGACAAATTTCTCAGAACGTGTGTCTATCCTTAAGCGACACGTGAATGTATGTACTTTCATTGCTTTAAACTCAGAGGTTTTGGACCTTGTCAGTCAATTAGCACCAGAAGCAAGTGGTGGTAACTCTCTGTGTGACCTTAGGCTGTCATCCATCTTGCCCATGCTTCTGTTAAATTGAGAGGGTAAAGAAGTGTTAAGCGCCGGGCGCGGTGGCTCATGCCCGTAATCCCAGCACTTTGGGAGGCCGAGGCGGACGGATCACGAGGTCAAGAGATCGAGACCGTCCTGGCTAACACGGTGAAACCCCGTCTCTACTAAAAATACAGAAAATTTGCCAGGTGTGCTGGCGGGCGCCTGTAGTCCCAGCTACTCGGGAGGCTGAGGCAGGAGAATGGCGCGAACCCAGGAGGCGGAGCTTGCAATGAGCCTATATCTCATTGTCTCCAGCCTGGGCGACAGAGCGAGACTCCTTCTCAAAAAAAAAAAAAAAAAAAAAAAAAAAAAAAAAAAAAAAAGAAGTGTTAAGCAATGATTCTGCCACAGTGGGTTGGAAGAACGGGCTTGGGAGAGTTTTTAACTCCTTTACTTCCAGCCCACTCCTCCATTAAATAGAGATAATCAGGAATATTATGAGGTTTAAATAAAATTATAAAATACAAGCCAGGTGTGGTGGCTCACGCCTGTAATCCCAGCACTTTGGGAGGCCGAGGTGGGCGGATCACCTGAGGTTAGGAGTTCGAGACCAGCCTGACCAACATGGAGATACCCTGTCTCTACTAAAAATACCAAAAATTAGCCAGGCTTGGTGGCGCATGCCTGTAATCCCAGCTCTTCGGGAGGCTGAGGCAGGAGAATCACTAGAACCCAGGAGGCGGAGGTTGCAGTGAGCTGAGATCGCGCCATTGCACTCCAGCCTGGGCAACAAGAGCGAAACTCCGTCTCAAAAAAACAAAAACAAAAAACAAACAAACAAAAATACAAAATCATAGCAAAAGTCTTGGCCCATAGCAAGCATCTGATAAATGTTAGTTATTATTAATATTGTAATTCTCTAGTGTTTCTTTGAGCTTGAATAGCCCACAAATCTCTGAGTGTTGTTTGACTCAAACCAGGAGCTACCTAGGTGAAGAAGTTAAGTGAAACCAGCATGGGTAGCCAGAGTTGTCATTTGAGTGTCTGGAATGAAAAGGGCCTCATCAGTGCTTGCTTACGTAATTCATCAATTGAGAGGAGAAAATATATAAAATAGAACTACACAAGAGGAAATAAACATTCAACAGTAAATTAGTACTGGAGGAGTTCCCTATTTCACCTGTTAAAAGACCAATTTTCCCTGCGGAATGAAATAAGGGAAAGCCCTTATCAGTTGGCAACTGACACCAAAACACTACTTAGGTAAGTGGCGTGGGATGAAGGTGTGGAGGTAAACCCTCACTTCTTCCCCACTGTATTGAGGGTCATCTTTCTGGCCTGGTGCTGAGTGGGTGGGATTTAGTTGCCTGCTGTGGCTTCAAGGACTGTTTCTGGAGTCTTCTAGGTTTAAGGCCAGCAGTGTTGCGTGACAGCAGAAGCAGCTTCCAGCGATTTCTTGGCTTCCAGCTAATTCTCTGTTTGCACTTTTGTTATGGCTACTAGTTTAAAACTCCTCCTTTGTTTATTTGTTTGTCAGTAGGTATGTGAGATGAAGTCAGCCCTCAGCCAGGCTCTGCCCTGGAGGGCTCTGCAAGGAAAGGGGTCACTTTACTTCTTTTGGCCCACTGGGTGGTAAGTCTGAACTGAGGCCTTTCTTTATTCCATCTCAAACAAGCAAACAAAAAAAGAAACCTACAAATAAGGAACTTTTCAGAGCAGCAAAGACAGGAAGAATTGGCCTTCCCATCTTTGCTGCTCTGAAAATGGCTCAGTTGAAAAATCTGGGCCGTTGAAAAGAAAACAAAAGCCCTGAGTTAATTGCAGAATAGGACAGGTCTGCACCCCCTTCCCAGTGCAGGTGACCTTGGATGAGACTGGTACCAGCTCAAACCTCTTCCTTTGTGTGCTCAGCCAGCCTTTGAGATGTGTCCCCACCAACAGGTGTCAGAATGAATAACCCTTAAGAGGCAGGTCTACCAAAGGGAAACCCTGGAAGTCCAGAAGATTTGCTTTCTCAATGTTAACTACAGTGTTTTAAAGAGCCTTGAAGGTCTGATAAAAACCCACTATCACTCCCTGTGGCTTGTCAAATTTCTACTCTCATGAGATAAGAGGGTCTAATGAAGAGAACAAGGGCTTTGGACTCCACAGAGCTTTGGTTCCGTCTCTCCATGTACTAGTTTAGGTGAGCTACGGCCCATGATTTAACTTCTCTTAGGCTCTCATTCATTACCTGGAAATACTGGAAATAATACTAATGTATTAAAAATAATAATAAGTGTATTACAAGGCTGCTGTGAAAAATGAATCTGAGCTAATAGATGACAAGTACTCAGCAGAGTGGTCCAGGATAACCCTTGATCAAAGTTACACATTGATCACCAGCTGGTAAACTGCATACAGTAAACTGGCCCTTTCAGACTGGCCCTTCACCTACGATGGCCCTCAACTTGCAAAAAATTCTTGGTTGGGACTTCACATGGGGCCTTCCAGAAAGGAAGCAAAAGTAGCAGCCTATTAGCATACAGTGGGCCAATTTCTGTGGTTAAGTAAATAAGTTACTAAAAGCATAATACCTGCCTGGGAGCTTTCTGGTAGCTGTTTGGAATTGAAGGAGTAATATAATAATTGTCATAGGAATAAATATCCTAATTCAGGCAAATAAGTGAAACCTCTCAAGTTTTATTATTCACTTCCAAAAAACTTGATGTACCTGAAACTTTAAATATACAAAACCAAGAAGTAGAATCCAAAGGCTAGAATTTCCCCTGACCTTTGTTATGGTAAATCTCATACTTCAGATGCTAAGCATATCAGATTCCAATATACAACAAGTTGAAAAATGAGACATAAAACAAATATGATTTGGGGTGGGGATTATTTCTCTCAAAGACAAAATTGCTAAGGAATAATGGTGTGATACTCTGCCTCAAAGAGTTAAAGACTACTTCATGGAGAGATGTAGTAACCAGTTTTTATTTCACCATTCACAATGTCACTCATTGAGTCATTTATAAACAAAAGTGTTTATTCTGTTTTATGTACTGTGTGAGATGTTGGGGATACAAAGCTGAATTAGACACAGCATTGAACGTGGCCTCAGCCCTCCAGGAGCCATCACAGCTAACAAGCCCACGTGCTGCAGTGGGACAGTGGCCATCCGGATACACTGTGGCCAGAGCTGAGGGGAGGGGAGCTCCCCTCTCACCAAGGGCATCAGGAAAGGCTTGATCATGCACAAAAGAGCTTTTGAGTTGGCGCTTAAAGAAGGAACAGAGTTTGCTGTAAAGAAAAGAGAAAAAAAAATTAAAAATCCAAGCAGAGAGAACAGAATGAAGGTATAAAGGTACAATAGGTGGTCCAGGTATAACAATGGTAGATGAAGCATAGTGTGTGTGTGTGTGTGTGTGTGTGCATGCACACACACCAAGTGGGATACAGGGCTGAGAATATGGGTAGCCAGAATCCACTGTGAGAAGTTTAGAACAAACGAAAAAAGAGGAAGACACAAGTGTAAAATGTAAGAGGAAGATGAGTTCAACAAAGGCAGGAATTTCTTTCAAGACACAAATACCTGGAACATGAGGAGAGGGAGTATCTCAGAATGCAGATCATTCCTTGATGAACCCCAGGACCAGATAAACTGTGGTAGATTGTGGTAAATTGGTAATAAATTGTGCTGTGTACCTGCTTGGCCTTCTTTAGTCCTCTACCTACAGCTGTACGCAATTTTTTTTTCTTTTTTGAGATGGAGTCTTGCTCTGTTACCCAGGCTGGAGTGCAGTGGCACGATCTTGGCTCACTGCAACATCTGCCTCCCGGATTCAAGCGATTCTCCTGCCTCAGCCTCCTGAGTAGCTGGGATTATAGGCGTATGCCACCACCATGCCCAGCTAATTTTTCTATTTTTAGTAGAGACGGGGTTTCACCATGTTGGCCAGGATGGTCTTGATCTCCTGACCTCGTGATCTGCCCACCTCGGCTTCCCAAAGTGCTGGGATTACAGGCATGAGCCACCGTGCCCGGCCCTGTATTATAATCTTATGGGACCATGTAATATGTGTGATCTGTCGTTGACTGAAACTTCATTATGTGGCACATGACTGTATTCGATCACAGAGGCAAAAAACTTGCCATTAAATTGAATCTACTTCCTCTTGTGAGATTAATCCCTTATGCTTTCAGCTAAAATGGAATATCTGGTAGAGATGGGGTTTCACCATGTTGGCCAGGATGGTCTTGATCTCCTGACCTCTTGATCCACCCGCCTTGGTCTCCCAAAGTGCTGGGATTACAGGCGTGAGCCACCATGCCTGGCTCTCAGTGCAAACTTTTGAAGGTAGGGTAGAAATTTAATAGCAAGCAGAAACAAAAATATTAAAAAAAAAAATGTGCACCTAAAGGGGCACCCTAGTAACTCCAGTGGTTTTGCCTGGGTGATGATGTGAGATGTTATGGAATAAGTACACACCTTTTTTTTTTCCACTTTGGTTTAATTATTAAAAGGATGTTTTTTGTTGTATTCTTGATTTCAACAGGCATACATGTTGTGGTTCAAAATATGGAGATGGAGGCTTAAAGAAGGAAATGAAACTTTCTCTGTATATTTTATACATAAAACATAGGAGATGCTCTTTTAAATTAGCTTTCTACTTTTGCTTTTGTGCTTCCAAATGGTTTCTCATTGAAGAGATCAGAAAGAAAAGATTCTTTTATATTTTGTTGTAGTTCTTATATGTTTTTAGTTTTCATATCTAACTCTTAAGTCCATACTGAATTTGTTTTTAATGAATGGATCACCTGAGGTCGGGAGTTTGAGACCAGCCTGACCAACATGGAGAAACCCCATCTCTACCAAAAATACAAAATTAGCCGGGCGTAGTGGCACAAGCCTGTAATCCCAGCTAGTCAAGAGGCTGAGGCAGGAGAATCGCTTGAACCCAGGAGGTGGAGGTTGCAGTGAGCCAAGGTCACACCATTGCACTCCAGCCTGGGCAACAAGAGCAAAACTCTGTCTCAAAAAAAAAAAAAAAAAAAAGGTCTTACATAAGGTAAACTCACGGCACATTTATGAGCCTTGGGCCTAT